>NC_000013.11:86859039-87162069 GCF_000001405.40 Homo sapiens
TGGTAGATTTTGAAATATTTTAAAATGTCTTAAAGTCCTATTCTTGTACATTTAAATAAACAATTTTAGAAAAAAATGAACAGCAATATTTTCGAAAGTTCTAATAATTATTTTGTTACTTAATAACATTTACATTTTCAATTCAAATTTACAAAATTATTTGGAGAATGTATCCTAGGGATACCACACATTAAGGACCTGATCTCCCACAATAAACTCTGGACTTGGCTTTTATTTGTCTTTATCATTTCAGTAGTGCATGACACATGACTTTATATGAGATATTCTTAATATGACCATTTTGAATTACAGTTTTAAAAGAATGATGATTATATGGCAATTGCCCTGTTTTAATTCTTTATATACAGATATTTAAAAAATATTTATATATATATAGCTTGTAGCAAAATCAGAGATAAGAAATAAAAACACGAGCAAGTGTATCATAATTGTTTTTTGGTCCATAACATCTGCAGGAAATAACTGAACGTTTCAGGGACATGTATGGGTACTTGGTTTTAGATAGGAGGTCTCAGGTCCCCGTGTAGTTTTTGCAGTGAATCATGTAACATGTTAAAACATGGTATGTTATGTAAAATATTAAAGCACTGTGATAATATTTCCCAAAATTACCTGTATGCTACAGACTAATATTCCCTATTACATTATATTAATTATTTATAATATTATTAAATAAGTAAATTACTAACTTGTTAAGATTATAAGGAATGACTTAAAATTATAAAGGTTCTTTTCAGGTTAATAAAGATGTATATTATATTGTTATATATCCAAGTAATATATCAACATAATACTTTAAAAATAATTAATATGTTGCTATAGGGAATTATTTCTTTAAAATTCAGTTAAATTAGATTGTTCAATATTTTATTTAACTTCTCACAGACACAAGTAGCTAAGAACTGAAAGGAGTAATTTGCAGAGTAAAGTCAAGACTGCTGCAAATCCCCACACCTGCTAAAACTCACTCCTCTGCTAGCCACAGCTGGAGGAAGAAAATGACTCCTGATTTCTATTTTACCTTCCAAATCTCAAGCACATGCTTTTCTTTGGCAGAATTTAAACTTGGATAGTGGTGTCAAACGCTTCTGGGAAATGCAATTCCAAGTCATCCATTCTCTGTGTAACTGGGGATATTATAGGTGTAGGGAAAAATAGTGTTGTATACCAATGGACATTCTTGAGGAGTTCACCAATGCTCTTCATAAACTTGATCTTGAATTACTCAGTGTCATACCTCATTTTATCATTTAAGTGTTGAGGTATAAAAAAGAATTTCATCATTTAAATCAATATTGTATTTATATTTATCACCACTATTTAGACATACTTCTTTATTATTAAAAATTTAGTACTTTAGTCCTTTTGTTTCATGCAATGTTTTATTGACCAAATATGATTTTGGAAAATGCCCAAGCTCCAAATTAGCTCCACTGGATTTCCAAACTGCATGTATAACAACTTATCTGACATTTCCCAAAAAATGTCTAATAGACATCTTAAACTGAACAGACCAAAGAGACCAAAGAGGTACATTCAACTTCCTTCTGTACTTTTCTTCCTTATCCAGGAAAGGACATAATTTTATACACTTAGTTATCATGTCATGCATCACCTAATTCAGGAAACTCTTGAAAGTAAACGGGGATGCTACTATTAATTAGGTTGAGATAATAGTCATAAAGCAGCAAAATATCTGCTTGATATCTCTGTCTATTTGCAATGGCTATCCTGTCTGCTCTACCACCAAAAGACGTCTTTGTAGGCTACACTAACATCAACATGACATTTCATTTATTTATGTAGAATATATCATGAAATGCTTTTTATACTATCCACAGAGTTATGTAGCCAGCATTGAAATATATTTTTCTGCATATCTTACTTCCTGAAAGCAACTCTGTGCCCATAACAGTCACTCCCCAGCTCCTCACTCCCTTCTATTCCCTACCAACCACTAATCTCCTCTTTAGCCTATATACTTGCATGTTCTGGACATTTAATGTAAATGAAATCAGTCAATATCTCATCTTTCGTGACTGAGTTCTTGCACTTAGCATAATATTATCAAATTTTCTCCATGCATCAATACTTCATTTTTTTCAATGCCAAATAATATTCAGTTGTTTGGATATACATTATACAAGTGCCTTGATATATGCAGGGAATTGTTCCAGGACTCCCATGTGTAGCACAATTTATACATACTCTAGTCCTGCTGTAGGCACTGCAAAACCCATATATTCAAAAGTAGGCCCTCCATGTATGCAGGTTTCTCATTCAGTGAATACTGTATTTTAGAATCACATTGGTTGAAAAAAAAATGGGCATATAAGGGAACCTCATATGATTTGGCTGTGTCACCACCCAAATCTCATCTTGAATTGTAGTTCCTATAATCCCCACATGTCATGGGAGGGACCCAGAGGGAAGTAATTGAATCATGGGAGCAGTTTCCCCTATGCTAGTCTCATGATAGTGAATAAGTTCTCATGAGATCTGATGGCTTTATGAGAGGCCTCTGCCTTCACTCAGTTCTCATTTTTCCTTCTGCCACCACGTGAAGGACGTTTGCTTTCCCTTTTGCCAGGATTATAAGTTTCCTGAGGCCTCCCCAACCATGCTGAACTGTGAGTCAATTAAACCTCTTTCTTTTATAAATTACCCAGTCTCATATATGTCTTTATGGCAGCATGAGAACAAACTAATGCAGTAAATTGGTACCAGGAGGAGTGGGGCACTGCTATAAGGATACTCAAAAATGTGAAAGCAAGTTTGGAACTGGGTAACAGGAAAAGGTTGGAACATTTTTAGAGCTCAGAAGAAGACAGGAAAATGTGGGAAAGTTAGGAACTTCCTAGAGACTTGTTAAATCACATTGACCAAAATGCTGATAGTAATATGGTCAATGAAGTCTAGGCTGAGGTGGTCTCAGATGGAGATGAGGACCTTGTTGGGAACTGAAGCAAAGTTGTCTCTTTTTATGCTTTAGCAAAGAGACTGGTGGCATTTTGTCCTTGTACAAGAGATCTGTAGAATTTTGAACTTGAGACATATGATTTAGGATATCTGGCAGAAGAAATTTCTAAGTGGCAAAGGGTTCAAGAGGAAGCAGAGTATAAAAGTTTGTAAGATTTGCAGCCTAATGATGAAATATAACAGAAAAACCCATTTTCTGGGGAGAAGTTCAAGCCTGCTGCAGATATTTGCATAAGAAACAATGAGGAGCAGAATGTTAATCACCACAACAATGGGGAGCATGTCTCCAGGGCATGTAAGACACCTTCATGACAAGTCCTCTTACCATAGGCCCAGAGTCTTAGGATGGAATAATGGTTTTGTGGAACAGGGCCAGGCCCCCCTGCTCTGTGCAGCCTCAGGACATGGGTGCCCTGCATCCCAGCTACTTTAGCTGAAGCCATGTCTAAAAGGGGCCAACATACAGCTCAGGCCATTGCTTCAAAGGGTGCAAGCCCTAAGCCATGGCAGCTTTCATGTGGTGTTGGGCCTGTGGGTGCACAGAAGTCAATAATTGAGGTTTGGGAACCTCTTCCTAGATTTCAGAGCATGTATGAAAACACCTGGATATCCTAGCAGAAGTCTGTTACAGGGATGGAGCGCTCATGGAGAACCTCTGCTAGGGCAGTGTGAAAGGGAGATGTGAGGTTGGAGCCATCACACAGAGTCCCCACTGGAAACTGCCTAATAGAGCTGTGAGAGGACGGCCACCATCCTACAGACACCAGAATGGTAGCTCCACTGACAGTTTGCATCATGTGGCTAAAAAAGCTGCAAACACTCAATGCCGGCCTGTGAAAGCAGCCAGGAGGGGGGCTGCACCCTGCAAAGCCACAGGGGCAGAGCTGCCCAAGGCAATGGGAACCCAACTCTTTTTTTTTTTTTTTTTTTTTTTTTTTTTTTTTTTTGAGACGGAGTCTCGCTCTCTCGCCCAGGCCGGACTGCGGACTGCAGTGGCGCAATCTCGGCTCACTGCAAGCTCCGCTTCCCGGGTTCACGCCATTCTCCTGCCTCAGCCTCCCGAGTAGCTGGGACTACAGGCGCCCGCCACCGCGCCTGGCTAATTTTTTGTATTTTTAGTAGAGATGGGGTTTCACCTTGTTAGCCAGGATGGTCTCGATCTCCTGACCTCATGATCCACCCGCCTCGGCCTCCCAAAGTGCTGGGATTACAGGCGTGAGCCACCGCGCCCGGCCAAGCCCAACTCTTACATCAGCATGACATGGGTGTGAGACATGGAGTTAAAGGACATCATTTTGGAATTTTAAGGCTCACAGATGGAAGGGACTTGGCTTGTCTCTGATGAGACTTTGGACTTGGACTTTTGGGTTAATGCTGGAATGAGTTAAGACGTTGAGAGATTGTTGGAAGACATAATTGTGTTTTGAATTGTGAGAACATGATATTTGGGAGGGGCCGAAGCAGAATGACATGGTTTGGCTGTGTCCCCACTCAAACCTCATCTTGAATTGTAGCTCCCATAAACCCCACGTGTGGAAGCTAATTGAGTCATGTGGGCAGTTCCCCCGTGCTATTCTGCAGATAGTAAGTTCTCACGAGATTTGATGGTTTTATAAGGGGCTTGACCCTTTGCTCTGTTCTCATTCTCTCTCTTGCCACCATGTGAAGAATCCCATGTTTGCTTCCCCTTCTGCCATGATTGTAAGTTTCCTGAGGCCTCCCCAGGCATGCTGAACTGTGAGTCAATTAAAATTCTTTCTTTTATAAATGAGTCAGTCTTTGGTATGTCATTACAGCAGGATGAGAACAGACTAATATAAAACCCCTGCAGTAACCTCTGTTTTTCAAGGGTTAATTATATCTTGTTTATGCACTATTTGATATGCTGTTGAGGTATTTCCCCCTTTCCATTGTTATAGATGCTAGTATAAAGGTTCCTGTACAGTTATTTACTAGAAAAATATTTTCATTTGTTTTTGGTATATAACTATAAAAGGAAATGTTGGGCTCTATTAACTCTATGTTTAACTTGTTGAGAAACTGTCAAATGATTTTCAAAGTGGCTGCACTATCTCACATTGTAAATCACAGTATAAGAGAGTGCTCATTTCTTCATATCAACACAAACACTTGTTATCATCAGTCACTTTTATTTAGCCATCCTAGTGGATTTAAAATGGTATTTCATTTGCATCTTAACCTCTCTAATGACTAATGATGCCTAGTATTATTTTCATGTGTTTATTAATCATTTGTATCTTTGACTTGGAGAAATGTCTATTCAAATTCATTGACCATTTGAATTTGGTTATTGAGATTAATTGGATTATTGGCCTGTTAATTAAATAACATGTACATTTAATGTACCTAAAAGAGAATGGACAAGGGTTTACAAATGAAATAATGGGACGAAGATTTTAATAAAACCTATGCATCTCTTTCTTGACTAATTGGGTGTTTGTCTAATATTTCATGGTAGGAACTGAGCTGCTGAGCCTGGTGAAACTAGTAGTTCCAGTTATGAATTCGCATGCTTTATGATGCATTTTTCGCTACACACATCACTCACCTGAAAAAAATGCATAAATTGTCATATGCTATTTTAAACCAAGTTCTGCTGGCTACAATAGTGCTGTAAGTTGTACTAATTGATTTATATGGTTTGCCATGAAATACCTTATTTATAAATTATAACATTGAAATAATTTAAATCAAGTTTACTTACTACAATTTAGAACTAAACTTTTATCACTAAGATTTAAGTTCAATTGTTAAGACAAAGAGGGGAAGGGGTAGCATTTTTTAGCTTCAGTGACCTGTAGAATTCTTTCCAAAACATCTTTACCACATAAAAATGTTAATATTATGGGGGCTGAGGTTATATCATTTACAATTATAGCTTTAACCTGAATGTCTTCTGTATTTACTATTAAATATATATGTCACATCTTCCAGAAATAAAACTAATAATATGGTGTTTACCTGTCTTCTTGTTGAGAAGCAAAACAGGCATGGGATTCTGGACAAGTTGATTAAAGTCATTGGGCTGCCTCTTCCAAATCTTTAAAATTAAGATAATAAATGTAATTATCTCATAGGGTTATTATGCATATAAAATGGTCAATATTTGTGAAATGGTAAAAAGTGTATCTAACAAATTTTAACCATTAATAATACTAAAACAAACAAATAGGTCACTTGAAGATACATTTTTGTTTCAGGCATTCACTTTAACAAACCAACAACACTCTTTTTTGCTTTACCAAGATAAAAAACAGCCATATTATCTATTTTATAAAATAATTATAGTGTTAGCCGGGAGCGATGGCTCATGCGTGTAATTCCAGCACTTTGGGAGGCTGAGGCAGGCAGATCACAAGATCAGGAGATTGAGACCATCCTGGCTAACACAGTGAAACCCCATCTCTACTTAAAAGAAAAAAAATTAGCCGGGCATGGTGGCGGGCACCTACAGTCCCAGCTACTCGGGCGGCTGAGGCGGGAGAATGGCGTGAACCTGGGAGGGAGAGCTTGCAGTGAGCGGAGATCATGCCACTCCACACCAGCCTGGGCGACAGAGCAGACTCTGTCTCAATAATAATAATAATAATTATTATTATAGTGTCAATATACATATAACTATTATGATGTACATATTTTATTATACCAAATATGAAAATACATTGCAATGCTAACAAACAGGAATTTAACATCTTACTTTTCTAAATGTAACTTCTATAACATAGTATTAATTTAGGATAAAATCAAGACATAGTAAAACTAAGTAATTGAGAATGTTTTCCTTTAATTAGAAATTTTAAGCTCAATTAATTTCCCTTCATGGGGGAAACCAGAATTGATAAAAAATGAGACTACTTTTTATTAATTTGAGAGGGAAGAGATAACTTTTTGTTTACTATATGCTTAGTTATTTACATTTTCATCCAGAATATATAATAGGAACTAATGTTGAATGCTAGCTATATACGATACATTTTTAATCACTATTCTACAATAAAACATTTTAAAATTATATAATATTATCTCCTAATCTAGGACATTAGTATAAGATATCTACTAACTATGCATGACAGGATATTAGCCTCTTTTTCTTTTCACTTAACTACATTTTTATCACAAAATGTAGGATATTTATGTATGCATATGTGTTTTATAAGGAAGACCTATGTAATCAGATTTCTAGGGATCTATTTGAATGAAGGATCAAAGTGCCTCTGGGAAATATCTTTTCAATGAAACAGCAATTTTTTGTTTCAAGGCACGACATATTTCACTATGAAAAAAACATAGCCAAAACATGGGATTTATAACCAACAATACACTGGAGAAAAACGCACAAAACACAAAGCTAATTTCGTATTAAACTAGTTGGGAGAATAAGGCCTAGAAATGTTGACTGAATGTATCCTTCATTGTCTCCTCTGTAGAAAATCCTTCAAATTCACTTGTATCTTTTTCTTAGCACATTGAACCCTTAAATATTTAATAATGAAATAAATTTTATTTTTATTTCAGTTAAATTTGATGGGATAGACTGCCTTTTAAATGTTATGTTACCATCCTGTAATATATTAATGGACCAATTCACTTAACAAAATGAAGTTTCTTGGGAATATTTTACAGGACCAGGAGACCAAGAGTCACAAATTTTTATGAGAACGATGAACCAGTATGAAAAGATATATAGGAAGGGAGATTGCTTTTCAAATCTTTTGATTTGCTACAACTTTAAACTTACATGGTCATTGCAAGAATAATACAATTAATTTTCTTAGAACATGTACCCAGTTTTATAGTTGTTAACATTTTATCTCATTCTCTCTATTCATAAGTTTACATGTATACATATGTTTGTTTTTCAGAACCTCTTGAGAGCACCTTGGATGTGCTGGACCCCTTTACCCCTAAATACTTCAGTTTGTATGTTTAAAGAAAAAGGGAATTTTCTTACATAACAACAGAAATGTAAAATGCTAGAAAATTTAACATTGAAACACCACCAATGTAACCTGTAGTCCATATTTAAATATCAATTGTTCCAATAATGACCTTTATAGTTTACAGTTGCTGCTTCCAGGATTATGTGCAGAATCACATATGGTATTTAGCTGTCATATCTTTTAAGCATCTATTAATCTGGAACATTTCCACAGATTTAATTTCTGTTTCTTAACCTTGACATTGTTAAAAAGTACAGGCCAGTTATCTTTTGCAATTTCTCTAAATTGACCTTTTCTGATATTTCCTAAAGATTAGATTCATGTTATGCAGTTTGTCAGGCATACCACACCTTTGGTGCTATGTCCTTCTCAGCACATCATAGCTGAAGACATATGTATAATGTGCTTTTCATCCAGTATTGGTAACATTAGCTTTTATCACTTAATTAAGAAGGTGACCACAGTTTTTTCCTGTAACATTAATAAGTGCAATTAATGAATAAGCTTGCTGTAGGTATCTAACTTGAGATTATAAAAAAATTCTGTTGTTTATCAAATTTGAAATATTTGAGGATTTTTTTGGTATACACACACACACACTTATATACAATTTTAACTTCTGCTATAAGAGAGATCTTTCCTTTATTTCCTTTTTATCTGCCCTCCCCCCTTTTTCCCCGTCCTTCTTTTCTTCCTTTTTTCCTTCCTTGTTTCCTTATCTTTCTATTTAATGGGTTATTGTTTTGTTTAATGAGTGGTATTACACAATGTGGCATTATTTATTTTGATGCTCAATTTGTAAGGAAAATTATTGAGTAGAAATTCACATATACTCTCTCAAATTCTATTCTTGCCTATTTTCCGTGGATAATATTTGAGTCTAGGTACAAGACGTTGCAAATAAAAGCTGAAAGGGTTGAATGAAATCTGAAAGAAAAACATATTTTTACAATTTATGTAACAGAATATTTTTTAAAGACTGAAGGTAAGAGATTTGACTTCCAGAAAAAAATACACGATGTAAATACACATAGTTGATCTAGTGTTTTGTATACCAAAGGAAACCAGGCTAATATCTTGGGCAGCAATACAAAAATAAACCATTAGCCAAACCAGTAGCTCCTTTGACATCAAGCTCTGATTGCCCTGGTACAAACATGGAGGAACATTTACTATGCATAACACTCTTGCAATTCAAATGAAATCCCGTAATAGTGACACCTTTAGCAATCATTGCCAGTCATGATCATTCTGGGGCTTTCAGAGTCATGACCATTAAGGCCGTGAACACAATGACCGAAAGCAAGAGAGAAGAAAGTTAGTGACAGCTATATAGGAGTGATATGAGTAGTGCCTTCAAAGTCTCAAATTCTAAACTGATACAGATATAATATAAATAAACAAGAAAGGCCACATTAAAATATAAAAAAACACAGCAATTTGGTTGCTTACTATTATGTGAAATAATATATATTTATTATTTTTAAATATATTTATTTAAAAGTAATTTGCCATGTCTTTCTCATCTTCAATTGAAATGTTCATTTCTAAAGTAACACATATTAAAAACAAACTAACAAAGACACAAACTAAAACACTTTGGGCCATTGTTGTGTAGATTTGTCTAAATATTTCTCCTTCTATAACTCTAATTTTTTTTTTTTTTTTTTTTTGAGACAGAGTTTCACTCTTGTTGCCCAGGCTGGAGTGCAATGGCACGATTTTGGCTGACTGCAACCTCCGCCTACGGGTTCAAGCAATTCTCCTGCCTCAGCCTCCTGAGCAGCTGGGATTACAGGCATACACCACCACGCCTGGCTAATTTTGTATTTTTAGTACAGACGGGGTTTCTCCATGTTGGTCAGGCTTGTCTCGACCTCCCACCTCAGGTGATCCGCCCGCCTTGGCCTCCCAAAGTGCTGGGATTACAGGTGTGGCCCACCGCACCAGGCCTCCTTCTGTAACTCTTGAATGATAGTCAGATGCTCACATATCTTCTCTATATGATACCATACATCTGTCTGAGTAACTGAAATGTGCAGTTCCCTTTTTTAAGGTTTTATGACTTATAGATAAAATTTAAATTATGTAATAAATATTGAATATTGAGTTACCTGTCACTTCTTTTATATACCTCTTTGGAAGCTCTTGAACTTATCATTGTCTCGTTCAAGCTGCTGCTAAAGTGATCAAATCACTATGTGTTCCAACTAATTAATGCAAGTGCAACTGAAAGGACCTCACCTCATATCCATACCATGTGAATCTCAGCTACTGCCTTGAGGTATCTATGAATGCACAACTCAGAAGTGCCTGACATGTAACATCTTGGGAGTAAAACACCTACAAATCAGACACTAGAGCTGAAGAATCAAGTCTTTCCCATCAGTTTCCTGGGAGTTTCAGGGATTCTTAGAGGACATTCCTACCACATCTTCCATCAGTTGCCACGGAGCCAGCCCTCTCCATAACCTATTTGCACATTGGCTTTCTATTCCTTGCTCACTCCTCATGTTCCCTTTTGTTTTCTTGGATTACTTTCCTTGACAAAGTGCTAGCTAAAATGACATTGTTTCAGGCCGCACATTATGTGAAACTATTTGAAGAAAATATGACTGTCTTTTTGCATTTTACAGATGTCAATTTAGTCAGCAACATAATTTTAATTTGAATTAAAGACTAAAAAATGAGGCATAAACTATACTGAAGAATTTGTTTTAATTCCCTGAAATTTTTATTTTTTTTTGCCTTTTTCTAAGACAGTCTCTTGCTATAATAAAGAAAAAATGCATGACTAAGAAGCAGTCTCTTAAAGTGTCTTTTGCCTTTAATCAGTATTGTACCAATTATGTTTCTGAGTATATAATTGTCTTTGCTCTCCTGAAAAGGAAAAATAATCAGTTTTCATGAGACAAAAATTGTGTCCCCAAATGTGAAAAAAACAATTTCTTTAAATTTCTCAAATTATAATCATGTAGGTTTCCTTGCAAACCGTAATTACACAGTCTCCCTATAATTTCTTTCAGTACAGATTTAGCTCAAGTCTTCTGTATGATCATTGTATAGCAGTGATACAATAGCATCTCCTCACATAGCTCTGCTGTGGCTAAGATTTCCTGGCTCATATTTGCACAAAAGGCATGGGAAGCCAAGAAGCTGGAAAAACCAAAGATACATAAGAATTCATTTAAAAAAAAGTAACAGTTTTGAAAGCCACATTTGAATTCATTACTTGCAGTTCCTATAAAAATACCTTGCTACTGTGCATACTTTTCTTAGTTCTTGGTGAAAAAATCTTTTATTTATACATCAACTCCTCAAAGCAGCTATGAAAAAAAAGAAAATTATTAACATAACACTTGCTAACATTCCATATTTTCCTTCACTGAGTATATTAATATAATGTTTTAAAGAGGCATATATTCTAAGAAAAACACTAACTTTGCTGAAAAACATTAGTTACTATACTAGAGCAATTTGAAACAATTGTATGTTTCCTGTAAAATTCATATTAAAATATTTTTGCCATTTCTTTTCAGTTCTATGTAACACCAGCAGGTGGCAGGATTAAGGCACAAAAACGGCAAAATCTTTGAGAAATGTAAAAGAAATACATTATGCTTTTTTCAATGTCTTAGGATGGCAGTCATTTTTCTTTTTGTGCATACAGGTTACTAAAATCATTCATGGCTACTAGTCCTTAGCAGACACATCGTTTTCCTTAAACCAGCTGAAGCTGTGCCCTTTTAAGACTCTTCTGATCACAAATCACCATTGTGCTGCAGTAATTTTCAGCTTTTACCATAAAGTGAGTCCAAAGCATATGGTGTGCATAAATTTGGATTATCTTCATACAGACAAAGATTCTTTGCTTGACCAAACTTTAGTCAGCCTCCGGAAACTTTTCCTAAGCCTGCCTGTGCACTTCCTTGCAAAATCCAGCTTTAGCAAAGAACCCTGCTAAATCAGGTTAGCTAGAATCAATCTCCCTCTCCCTGATGTCTAATCGCCCAAAATATTTAATCGGGTTCTTCATTCGCTGTCCTCCAGGAGATGTTTGATCGCCCTGGCCTGCCTTCAGCAGGAATCCTGCTAGGTCAGTGTAGCCAGAATACCTCTAATTCCTGATGTGTCCTATTAGTAATTTTTCATCCACTGACTTCCACCCTGCTCTGTGGCTATAAAGTCCCACCTGCCCACGCTATATTCAGAGTGGAGTCCAATCTCTCTCCCCTACTGCAAAATCCCATTGCTGTGGTTCATATGTACCAATTGTGATGGTTTTGAATAAAGTCTGCCTTACAATACCTTAACAAGTATTGTTGAATAATTATTCTCTCTTTAACAATACTAGATTACAACAAGTATTGGGAAAATTGTTTGGGAAAATTGTTTATATGATGAGGACAAGACTAAAATTAAACTACTTTGCTTTTTAATACTCTAAGAGTTTATAGTGAATCTCTGATAGGACACTTTGCCACAGTTTTGGGGCAAGCCAGATAATGAGGTTATGGATTACAGGCCTTTTAAAAACTGGCTAAAAGGGGCCAGACACAGTGGCTCACGCCTGTAATTCCAGCACTTTGGGAGGCCGAGGCAGGTGGATCACCTGAGGTCAGGAGTTTGAGACCAGACTGGCCAACATGGTGAAACCCCATCTGTAATAAAAATTTAAAAAATTAGCCCGGTGTGGTGGCGGGCACCTGTAATCCCAGCTACTCAGGAGGCTGAGGCAGGAGAATTGCTTGAACCTGGAAGGCAGAGGTTGCAGTGAGCCAAGATCATGCCACTGTACTCCAGCCTGGGCAACAGATCGAGACTCGGTCTCAGGCAGAGGCACTTCTTTTTCCCAGAAATTCTCTCAGATATTCCTACTTCTATTTTCCTTGTCAACAAACGCACACATGCCTTGGTGGTAGAAATGGTTCTTTACAGTTTACTTATAGTCAGTGAACTGAGTAATGTCTACATTTTTTTAAATAATTATATTCCCTGAGTTCCCTAATCGGTCACTTTTCTTAAAGGAATAACTCTTCCTATATTCTTTCCTTAATATCCTTCCGCTTTGTATATAATCTAGTTAGAATACCACATGCTAAACTAATAAAAAATTGCTTCTACAAAATTGTGTTTAATAACTACTTGTTAATTAGAGGAACTGAAACAACTACATTTTAGTATTACCAAGTTCAGGAAACTTTGCAAATACTTGTTTAAGAATTAAGATGAGATGATAACTTTAAAATGTCTGGACACATTATCTTTAACATACTCCTTCTATAATAAGAGAATTTGCAAATTCTTGTTTTACTGAAGTAAAAATATCTTCTCAAATAAAGTACTATGGAAAAATTTAAACATATATTTTCTATGTTATGAAATAAAAGGAAATCATTTTATGCTAATTATAGAGGTTTGCACAATATTATCAATTGAGATATTAGATAAATATATGCAATAAGAAAAACAGTCTGAAGATTTACCCATTGAGTATCCTGAGACTGGAGTGATAATGCATAAGATGTAAGAGGCCACTATACAAGAAAACAGCAATATATTATGATAAGAATGTTACAATAATACTATGCATGGAGTGCTTATCATGTGTTACAATATAGAAGGTAAGTGATATTTTCCTTAGTTTAAATTGATGCTCTCTATAATAATGCAACAAATTTAAAATCAACCCAGCCACAAAAGGAGGAAATGACATTGAAACTGAAGAGGATAGGATTAAAAGCTGTTGCCTTGTCTTGTGCCCATGTTACTGTTCATGATAATGTGTGGTTCTGCATTCATGCATTTATTTTGTATTCCATTTTTCATCCCCACAATTTCAGCTCAAAACATAGAATTTGACACTATTTTAATATCAGTATGATTTCTTTCCCTATGATGTTTTTCAAAATAACAATGGAATTGGTGTTATTCAAATATACTATTACTTATATTGTATTATAGTAAAATGTCATGCAATTATTGATGAATCAGTGACATGATTTGTATGTAAGAGTTGTAGTTCTAGTTTTATGAGAACTATTAGTTTTAGTTTTATGCACAATACCTGATTTAATTCTTGCAATAACACTATAAGGTAAGCACTGTTTTTATCCTCAATTTTTAGCGCCAACAATTGTGAAGAACAGAGAATTTCAAGAACTTGACCAAGATCACACAGCCACTGTGGAACAAAAATTTAAACCTAGGCAATCTGAGTCCAAACCCCATTTTTTTTTTTTTTTTTTTTTTGGTCTGACAAAGAAAAACTCAGTAGTGCAGATACTGTGTTTGTAGGAGTTATTGGCAAGGCATCTTTCTTTTGAGACCTGATACTTGGAAACAGTTTCTAAGCGTTAGGCAATCATCACAACAGAATACATAGGTGGTGAGGGCAAGAGTAACCTAGAAGTCAGCAGGAAGGACAGTAATGGAGGTGATGCTTACCTAGTGGGAAGAGAGGTGCAACAAAAGCATAAGGAAGATGGCTGCCAAGACAGTGAACTTCATTTTCACACTCTTCTGACCTTGGGAAATGGCCAGGCCATTTGATTAGGAAGAAAGAAAACAATCATTGCCATCCTTAATCATATGGTGATCTGACAAGGGAAGCTGTGAAATGTGATTTCTGAATCAGCATGTAATTGGTTTTGTAGACAATATGAAAAGACTTACAGTGGTATAAACTCTATTAGAATGGCCAAACTATATATAGCCCATGTCACATTCTGCTCAAAAGGCACATTACATATTATTTTTCTACCTTAAAGTCTTTTAAGTATGATTATTGTTTTTCTGCATCAGAAGTTGTGGTATCTAACAAAAAAATTAACACACCTTATTATTTACTTATTAAATTTTGTTAAGCTTTCTTTAATCTAATGTGAGACTCAAATAATATATCCCTCTATGAATGAAGATCAAAGAAAGTCTTGCTGGAATTTAAAAGTATCCATATGCCACAAGGATATAAGAATAATACCTCGTGTTGGTATTTGCAAAAATAAAATGATTTTTTAAATTTATGTTTGAGCTTGTTTGCAAAAGTTTCATGAATTTCAAATCTATTTAAGTTTCTATGGGGACTTGCTTGTAGTAGTTTCAAACTTAATAGAATTCAGATTAAATATTTTGAGTTCACTTATCTAAATTTTTTGCATTAGTAAATTAGTAAATTATATAAATATATCAAAGTAACAAAGGTTTCCAAAGTAACCATATGTCACGGTAAATGCACTTCTTATTATGATCTTTTCTCATGATAAACCAGTATGAGTGTGCTAAAAATTTTAAAGTGAAATGCAAATTGAGGTTAAAATACTTGAATCTATTGAGCTTTTTGTTCTGAGACTCTTGAGTCTATTACATTTTTTGCTCTGAGACTGTGTGATGCCCCAATCAAGTATTTCTATCAGATTAAAAAAATATTTTATATATAGCAGCAAACTTTCCAGAAGAAAATGAACTATCAAATAGATGGACTTATGTATGTAATCTGTATTTTAATTATCTTTTTATTTGGGCTCTTGCAGAATAACAGAAAATCTGAAAGTAGCATAGGTCATAACCACATAAATAGAGCATATAGATATTATTATAATCTTTATGAATACACCTTTAACAGAAAAATATTGACATATTCTGATGCTATAGATGGCACTTAAGAAGTATAGAAAAATATGACTCTTATAATAAAATAAAATGATCAAAAATATTTTGTTTCCTGATGTGACTAAACCTGTATATAAATAGAGCATTTAGGACACCAATAGAACTATATTGAATTTCTGCTATAGGAAACTGAATTGTCAAAGAAGTTTTTTTTTTTAATCTCACATAAAAACAATGCCCCAATATTGAACAAGCCAAGATTGACACTGTTCTTTACCTTAATGATATCATCAATGTATTTGCACTGTTTATCTTTTTAGTCTACCTACCTTCACATGGATTTTACAGTCTCATGTCCACAAAATGGGCTGAAAACTCCAGCATTGCAACCACACTCTAAGCAAGAAGAGTAGAACAGACAAATGAAAGTAAAGGAGGTTACAAAAAAAAAAAAAAAGCAAAATGAGTACACGAGCTAATTATTTAACCTTGTCAGGAGAACAATCAGGTTGTCTGAAAATCCCACCAGTAGACTTCCACTTACATCTCATTTGTTGCAAGTATGTTAGATTTCTATCCATTACTTCATGGGAGGCTGGGAAAGTAACCATTACTCTGGACACTGGACCGTTTGCTTCCCCAAAGAAACTTGGGAATATAATAATAAGGTATAAGAGACTGATCAGTTTTACAAAGGCAGCTAGCTGGGTTTGACACAAAATATCTCACAGATGTAAGAAAAAAATATAAACAGAATGAGATAACAACAAATGAAGTCCTAAATGCTTATATGTGATTAAGATTTGTATATCTTCTTAGTCAATTTATCTCTTTATGTTGATCTCATACTGTTTTAACAGATCTTTTCTTCTTAATTTTCAAAGAGGTTAATACTGACTCAGGTGAAGACTTTTGTTCCAGAGGCAACATAGGAAACCACCTACTCCATTTAAAATGTTTTTCATAAAGTATATTAGTTATTCAATTTTATATTTTTGAATACAAGACAGAAAGCTGCTTGAATTACGAGTAAATTTCTGAGATTTCTTTTTGCGTTTGCTCACAGTGAGAATGCAATTTTGAAACATGTTGCAATTTTAGTTACTTAGCTTAATGGAAAATTGGTTTCTCATAGTCAAATTAGTTAAATTAAATTCTGGATTATATTGCATAAACTCAATAGAACCATTGACATATTTCAGTCTGTCTCTAAAATTTCATGATTAATTATTATCTCATAAATAAACTAACACTTCAATCACGTACTCAACCACTATATACTTCTCTTGGGGACATTGTGGCACTCTACAAGAAAACTCAGTAAGGTATTTCTCCATGACTTTGAAGGAAGATTTTTTAAAATTAAAATTTGACACCAATATAGAATATTATTAAAGCTCATATTCATTCACCTGAAAAATAGGAATAATACTATTCTACCTACTGAATTGTGGTGGGACATATAATAAGAAAAATATTTTGAAAATGTTAAGTTTTAAAGAAAAACAATAAAGACAAGGGTAAGAACAGACAGAAATGTAAACATGGGAGAGTAGTAGACAAAGAAAAGAAGAAAATTGTTTCAGGAGATGCAATTTTTTCTCAATTTTAAAAAGTTTTATTTGACAGATAATTGTATACATTTATGGAGTACAGTGTGATGTTGTCATATTTGTATACAATGTGAAATGACGAAATCAAGCTTACTAACATATCCATCGCCTCACATACATAACATAATTTGTAGTGAGATATTTAACATTTACTCTCTTAGCACTTTTGAAACTTATAATACATTATCATTAACTATGGTCACCATGCTATGCAAGAGATCTCAAAAAATTATTCCTCCTGTATAACTGAAACTTTACACTCATCTCCCCATTTCTTCTCTCACCTTCCCTCACCCCTGGTAACCAGCATTTTACTCTCTACTTCTATAAATTTGACTTTTAAGTAAGTCACATTTTGCAGTATTTGTCTTTCTGTACTAGAAGCATAATGACTTCTAGTTTCATCCACGTTGGTGCAAATAGGAAGATATGCTTCAATGGTATTACTAATATTTAATCTTCAGATTTATAACTCATGAGATCTTAAAGGCTATCTTTTGTTTTCCTTTTGAATGGGAGCTCTCCATCTTGCAAACAACAAATTCAAGGTCTTGCCGTATTGTCCAGGCTGGAGTGCAGTGGCATGATCACAGGGCACTGTCACTTTGAACTCGCGGGCTCACGCAATCCTCCCACTTCAGCATTCTTAGTATCTAGGACTACATGTATGAACCGCCATGCCAGGCTACTTTTTTATTATTCATTGTAGCGACAGGGTCTTGCTACTTTACCCAGGCTGATCTTGAACTCTTAGGCTCAAGTGATCCTCCTGCTTTGGCCTCCAGAAGTGCTGGGATTACAGGCATGAGTAACAGCATCTACAGCACCTGGCTTACTTTTTTTTTTTTTTTTTTTTTTTTTTGAGACAGGGTCTCATTCCCTCTCTCAGGCTGGAGTGCAGTGGCATACTCATGACTTACTGCCGCCTCAACTTCTCGGGGCTCAGGTGACTCTCCCAACTCAGCCTCCCCAGTAGCTGGGACCACAGGCCTGTGCCACCACACCTGCTAATTTGCTTTTTTTTTTTTTTTGGTAGAGACAAGGTTTTACCATGTTGCCCAGACTGATCTCAAACTCCTGGGCTCAAGCAATTCGCCTGTCTCAGCCTCCCAACATGAGATTACAGGTGTGTGCCACCATGCACAGCACTTGCCTACATTTTTAATGTGTACCTTTAAGCTTTTAAACACTGACACTTTCACAAAAAGCAGGGAAGCATTCATATTTTAATGAGATTTTAAAATATTTATGTGAATTTAATACCTTATGAGTTATGCCACATTTTTGCATGTTTTGTATAACTTGCTTTTATGAAGTTCTCATTTATTTATTCCACATCACAGTTGCTACAGCAACCGATTACTGTAACATTTATTTTTATGGCTTTTTTGATAAGACTATCTTCAAATTACAGCATGTCTAGAACTTGTTGGATCATAATTTAACTTTCACTGTGAAGAGACAACATATTAGTCCTATCTTGGCAGATTTATATTGGCTTCCTGTTTCAACTAGAATTATCTCCAAGCTATTAATTCTGGAGGATTTTGTTTTTCTTTTGGTGATTAAATGGACTAGAATCACCATATCTTTCAGGGTGTCCAGAGAAAAATACCATTTCTGCAACCTTGTTCTTCTGATCAATGCTTTTGTGAATTATGTCACTTTCAGCTAGAAAATGTATGCCTCAAAGGCTTTCGTTATTGTTCTTGTTGTTACTTTTTCTGTTGACTTCAAGGGTGTCGTCTTCATTACCAAAAGTAAGAATTATTGGTCATTTAGAATATTTTAAAAGTTTTTCCACTACTTTGAGATATACTTGCTTTACATATAGATAGATAGATAGATAGATAGTTGAATGATTATTTTGGTTTAGATGGGTTTAGTTACATACATATAACTCTCCCTCTCTCTCTTTCTATATATATATGTATATACACACGTACGCATAACTCTCTCTGTCGCTCTCTGTATATATGTGTATATATATATATATAAAATATCTCTGTCTAGATATCTACTTAATATCTCTATATATGGAGAGAAAGCTGTATCTATGTAATATATATATATATATATATATATATATATATATGCTAACATAGACTTAGATTTTATGAAAATGCTAATCACTTTTTTTTTTTTTTTTTGAGACGGATTCTCTCTCTGTTGCCCAGGCTGGAGTGCAGTGGCACGATCTCGGCTCACTGCAAGCTCCACCTCCCGAGTTCATGTCATTCTCCTGCCTCAGCCTCCCGAGTAGGTGGGACTACAGGCGCCCGCCACCATGCCTGGCTAATTTTTTATATTTTTAATGGAGACGGGTTTCACCGTGTCAGCCAGGATGGTCTCGATCTCCTGATCTCGTGATCCACCCATCTTGGCCTCCCAAAATGCTGAGATTACAGGCGTGAGCCACCGCGCCTGGCCCACATTTTTCTACTTTGGCTATTTCACAGTATTTATTAGCCTCACTTACCTTCCTTTGAACCTATTTGAATATATATTTTAAAAACATGATAGAAAAGTATGACTCTATGATAGATTAATGATTTACTCCAAACTACAAACAATTCTGGATAACCCTTGCGTGATGTGAAACTCAGAACAGTCTTTTACTTTCATTCCACTCCTTTTTTTAGGATTTACCTTCTTACATTGAATAATGAGAAAGAACAAGAAAGTAGTTGTCAAAGGAAGATAGCAAGCTAAAAAAAAAAAAAAAAGGGGGGGGTGGGAACATGACTTACAAAGAAGATTATCAGGAGAGTCCAGACTTCAGTACTGGCTGGATAAAAAAAAAAAAAAAATACTGAGTTTACTGCCAATTTGTAATTTATTTGTCAATTCACAGTGGAAATTTATTTGTCAGTTCACAGTGGAAAAATTCGTAATTTTCTTCTATTATTATGATATTTGTAAAGGTTGTAACACATCCACAAACATCAGCGCTGCAAATGCGTTTAATATTTTGTTAGCAAATTTGTTTAAGGTTCTACTAGTTTGAATACCAGTCCTATACAGTTTGGCAACATATTTGTTATTAACTATTTTTCAGTTATTTTTAATTGACATAAAATTGTATGTACTTATTATGTACAACATGATGTTTTGAAGTATATATGCATTGTGGAATGACGGACTCTGGATAATTAACATGCGCATTATCTCACAGAGTTATTATTTTTGTTGTGAGAAGACTGGATGTTATTGTTAATTAATATGAATTAGTAAAGTGTTGCTTTTTTCCTTCCTAGCTAGGAGATGTATTATATATGCTTATTCAAAATGGAGAGAGAGCTAGGTGTTGGTTTTGTGTCATCATTTGTCATTCTGTCACCTTCTCCGTATTTTTTTTTTTACTGCTGTCCCCACTTTGACCTGGATAGCAGCTCACTTACTCTGTGGCTATTCATCTTCTCAATTTATTGGACAAAGTGCCTTTGAGAAAATGCTGATCCTTCTCAATGGATGTTAAGGGGGAAATTAATGTTGGGTAGGGTATATATTCCTTTGCTATTCCCTCTCATTATTTCCCATCATCCACAAAGAAAGACTACATGTTTCAGATTTACTGAAGTTTGAGGAAAATATAAAAATACATTATAAATAGTAAAAATTCTATTATATGTTAGATACCACTTCTTTTATAAAAATAAATAGATTACATCTTCAAAGTCAAACTATCAGTCTCATAAATGCCTCCTTTACAAACTTAGCATTTTTTCTTCAAGTTTGACTGAGGAGTGTACAAAATCACCTCCTTCTTCTAATCTCATCTGGCCCCACCAACAGAGACCACTTTTCTCTCAACTTGCCTACTCGTTTTGATTTTCCACCCCATAGTACATTTCCCTTAGGTATTTGTTGTAGAATTTTCCACAGGGGCTTACAGAAGGATTCTCAAAGGTTGATAAAACAGTTATAGATTGGTGCATACTAGTTATGCCCACCAGTTAAACATTTAGATTAGTATTCAGGTCAGTTTATTCTTCTAATAGTCCTGAGGGTAATTAGTATAAAATATACCCATACGAAAATAAAGCCAAATACACACACCAACCCCAGTCCCAACATACATACACACATGAAACACACACACACAAACACACACACACACACACCAGTCTCGAAGAAATATTTTTTAATATAGTAGAGTTCTCAAGTAGGATTTAACATTCAATTGCAGGGACCCCTAACATAATGGAATTACGTCCTGTCATGGATAAATAGTCTTTGTCAAAAGTCCCTCCAATATAAAGAAGGAATGTAACCTACCAATGTTTTACCAATCAGACCCACAGGCATTTTAGATAATGTGGGAGCTATTTAAGAAAAAGGACTCTTCATAAGTCATTTATGTAATGAAAAGAGATGTTTTAGAGAAGCCTGGCAACCAAAAGCATCAATAGAAATTTTACATGATCAAGTGTACTGGTAGATGTAGAGGTTTTATTACAATCACATTATTGTATTGCAGGTAGTAATGACAGTGTTGTCTTTCAAATCAATTTGTGGAGTGATTCTGATTGTCTTTATCAAAATTTTCTATGAGCCCTTTTCTCTAGCTCTATTAATGATTCTATAAGCTTTCTAATATATATTAATCAATACATTTTTCCATGTAGCAAATCAGAATAGCCTGCTTTGACTGCAAGTTAGAATCTTAATTGACACTATAAACAGTAAATACAATTACTTTATGAAACAGATCATCATAAAAATGAGAATAGGTATTGGTAAACTAAGCTGGTTGAGCTTAAAAATAATTTATATGAATATATGTAACCATGGTGTTCCATGAAATCTTCTACAATGACCACCTGCACTTATTGAAAGTGAAGTCCATCTTGAAGCTAAAACCTTAGTTACTAAATAGCTGTTGTCATGGAACATTGTGAACCACAAGATAAATATAAGAACCGTGGGTTGAGTGGTGCTTGTGATTGCACTGAGAGCTTGAAAAAAGTACATTAGATGCCAAAAGTTTTAAATTCTCAGTTCAAGGAAAATCAACATTTAAATAAGTGTCCCAAATGAATCACTTTTGTCTAATTATCATGGAGTTAAGGTAGTGAAAAAAATTATAATCTGACCATGTACATTATTAAATTATTATACTAATCAAATTTACCAATTTACCAGTTCTTTTATATGAAAAATAGAACAATGATCATAAACCAATAAGGAATGGGAATTAAAATAGGGACTCTGGAGGGGATATGGGATACTCAGAGCATCCCAGTTTCCAAACCAAATTGAGCTGTCCTTAATAGCCAAAGGAGCCTTTTCATTCCTGTTGAGGCAGAGGCCTCTATCTTCTTTGGGGACTTGGAAGAATATTGCCCAAGGCAATGACTTTTCAAGGGGAAGCTAATAGCCCTCATTTTGTAACAATGAAACAAGGAAAGGACTAGCCTAACTCCATTTCTATTCAAAGGGCCTTTGCTCGTCCCTGCTAGTAGGTTAGGATAATTTTAGACTACTGAGATAACAGGCAGTAATGGCAATCATGTAGTTTTTAAAAAATAACTCTGGAATTAAAGGAGACGTATGAAAACAACTAACTATCTTTTATTAAAGATTTAGAGGTGAATTGTGACCTGACTAAGGGCAAAGAAGTTCCCAGTTTCCTCAGACCCTCCCTGTCACCCAGATATCTGTAGTCATCAGTTGCCTCTTGATGTCAACCCCTGCCTCTTCTCTCTGTCCTTAATGTAGAAAGAGCCTAAAATTTGTACTGACTTAAGATCGTACTTCTGAATTTTAGTTCATGATCTTTTTGATTTTGCTGGTTTTTCTGGGTAAACCTGCTTTTCCTCCCACTGATACAGGAGTTATTAAGAAATAATTCTTTAGGCAGATAGTAAGAGTAAATGTTCTCGGTGGAAATTTTCCTGTAATAAGAAACAAACCTTAAACCATCTCTTTTCTAACAGAAAAGGCTGCTTGAAGGGCCAGGCTGGCAAGCTTTGATATGCAAATGCCAGCCATTAGAAACTGGGTTCACTCAATGTGGCAATTCCTGCTGTCCTTTCCTTCTTACTAGGTGTACCAGGTGTCATGGCCACCTCCAGATAACACCATGTGTTTGAAACATCATGGTGACCTGCGTTTGCATATGAAAGGACTAAGGTGGGAGGGCCACATTTTTCACGGGCTACGTAAATGACACACTTGGTCAAACCAATCCCCTGAGCCCTATGCAAAGCAGACACAGCCTCCTCCAGCATCCCAGTATAAGCAGCCACTTTTCCGCCTCTGCACATGGGGTTTTCTCTTTGTTCGAGTCCCCCCTCCCTCTGTCTCTGTATGGGGGACCTGTTTTCTTCCTTCCTTCTTTCTTGCCTATTAAACTTTTTGCTCCTAAAAACCACTCCACGTGTGTCTGTGTCATTTTATCCAAACCGGCGTGAGACCAAGGACCCTGGTGTTCCTCCAATCATCGGAGCCATATCAATACCAACCCTTGTCTTTCAAGTGTGGTTTTTGAGCAGCAAATGGCTGAATCTGGTTTTGATTACAATTTCTCAGCTCTCTCAACTTTTTTTTAGTTCTAAACATCCAGAGAAGCCTAGTTGTGAAGTAAAGTTTAACATCTAAGTCCAATACTAAGTGATGCTTTAACATCTGTTGAAATCAGAAGGGTCTCAAATGGCGTAGCCACAACTTCCTCTCCTCCGCTCATGTGGGTAAAGTCTCCTAACCAAACAACTCTCCTTATCAACAGGACCAGGTGAAGTTCCTGCTTATCCCTGAGCACAGAAGATTTCAGTTTTCTGTCAGACCATAGATCAAATGAGGCAATCACATTTTTCCCAGGGAATGAAAAAGGACAAGCACCCTCTTGAAACTACAAAGCCTGCTTTCCACAGCTGCTGCTTATCCACTCTGTTTCAAGGACACCCCCATGTAACCCTGCATGACATGCTGTGCCCTTCTCCCTGGGACTGTGAGTCTACGTGACTAAAACACTGCTGTCCATCTCATCTGTCCAATTGCAGGTCTCATGTGTTGAGTCATTCTCATACCCTGGAGTGGGAATCCCTTCCTCATGAACAAGAAGAGAAAAGGATTGAAACACTATTGAATAAGACTAAGCCAATAGGAGAAATACAACAAAAGAATTTGGTTATTTAAATAAAATACATGGAAATTTGTTTAACTTTTTTTTTTTTTTTTTTTTTTTTTTTTTTACAAAAAACAAGAAGGACTTGTTTTGCGATATATTTTTAGGGAATTACATTTTAAGTTTATGTTTAGGGCACTAAACATAAGTTTAGATTGTAATGAATTCATTAACATGCCTGCACTATCCAGAGATTCTGATTTTTGAAACCTGTACTTGATGGGGGCCAATGGAAAATGAAGGTGAAATGCTAGATATGTGTTTGGTTTTATTTTGCAATACATAAGAATTTATCCTAAGTACTGCGAAAGTGGAAATTATAAAGTTATTCACACATTCCCTCATTATGGCCCTGAAGGAGAACCACAAAAGCCTTGTTTCACCAAAACACAAAGAAGGACATTGGTGAGGAAAAGGTCAGTTTATTTGAAAAGTACTCTGTTGGCTATTCATCTGCAGGCCAGAGATGATTCTGCGATGGAAGTGGGTTCCCAGTTTCAATAGGGAAGATAAGATATGTGGGTAGTACAATCCAAGTAGCTGTAATTGACCTTCAAAGGTAAGGTAGGAATAGTAGCAGTAATTGACTGTCAAGGTGGGAATTAGAATAGTTTAAGCTGCAGAGATTTTTGATTGCCGATAATTATTTATGGCATCCTCATGACTAAAATATAAAGAAAGTTTATGAAAGTCTCACGAGATCTGTGAAATCAAACTAATTTGATTCTGTTAAACAGAGATTTTGCTTAGGTCAATGCAGTATATAAAAATCTAGACCTAAACCAGTAACAAAGAACCTTGAAATAAATGAAGGCCCGATACTAGTAAGAAAGAACTCTGCAACAAATGCACAAGTATATACGGTATATCTTTCTTCTACTATTTCTGAATAATCTAAATGTACACTGAATAAAGGGAAGTGGAGAGAAATTTTAGATATAATTGATATTGAACTGGGTTGATGTCAATACCTTGATTAAAAACAGTACTATTATGTGATACTGGTCAGAGCTGCAGCTTTGTAGAGGATCACAAGATAAATACATTCTGGCCATAGTTTTTCTTGTGGTAGAAACATTCCCCCACACTTCTATTGCATAGCATTGCATAAAATGGATGTTTGCCATATGTATATGAATTTTAATGTGAGCAAACAATTTACAATTTGTTTATGAAAAAAACATCTTCATTGTGTTCACTTTTATATGATTTATGGTTCCCTTGACTTCTCACGTGGAATAGAAGTTGATTAGGGAGATAAGCAATAGATTTTATTTCCTGTACTATCTCTTTCTCTACATTAGCTCAAAGATAAATTTATAGTAGGCTCTTTCGCATTAATCATTTGCTGATTACAGAAGAGGTAAATAAATATTCAGAAATAGCATATTTGATCCAAATATTATTGTTAATTCAACTTGAATAAAAGTGATTAGGAGAAATTCCTATAGAAAAAAATTAATATTCAATAAATTAAGATCATGGCTGCCTATTAACAATTCAACTTTGATTACATAAGTATAACTTAATATATCTATGACGTAAACCAAGTGATTATGTTAATAAAATGTCAAAATCAAATTCATCATGAAATCAAAATAGAAAATTGTAGCCTATTGATTTCTAAATACCATTTATCTACAAAATATAAGTTAATGTCATTTATTTAAGGGAAATGAATATTTAGTTTATAAGTAGCTGTCTCCACAACTTGTAATTTACAAATTATTACTGGAAAGAAACACTTTTCCTGTCAGCCACACACTCAGATCAAATGTTTTAATCCTGCCCTTTTCTGCCTTGTTCTGTGCCCTGAGAAACTTCCCTCTGTGGACTGCTCAGTGTGGTCTTTCCTCCCTTTTACATTCAAGTTGAGTATATTTGATAAGAATCAAAGATTATCAGAAGAAATAGATCATATGTAAGTTGAGAATATTTTTTATTTATTACTCATTACAAGCGATCAGTTTTAGCATGATAGATATATGCTAGTCTTAAGTTCACTAGCAAAGGGGAATAGACTGCATAAATGAAATGAGCATGGTCAAAATAAATTTAATAGTTGGTGCAGTATAATGGAAAGTAAATAAAGGAGATCAAAAAAAGAAGATGCAATTTCAGTGTCCCTATAAACTTGTCTCACACTTACTGAGAGTTTACAATAGTGGGTAGGAAGTGATTAATTTTATCATCTTAAAGCAACACCTTTTCTATTGTTAATCGAAAGACCTTCTGAGACAGTGACTAGCTAAGGGCAGTAACAGTAAAGATCTGTTTCAGATAGTTAGAAAAGAAAATAGAGGTGAACACACACATACACAAATAGAAGCAAGGAAACGATGACAAGAAAGAAATTAATGAAACAAAAAAATGCATATGTAGTAGCAAAAACGTCAAAATTTAGTTTTTAACAAGACTAATACATTGATAAATCCTAGGAAGGGGGTAAAAAGGAAAAAACAGAAAGGGAAAAAAAGACAAAATCAGAATTAAAGAATTCTGCAGGATCTATTCTGCTGCCATAGATTCTGCAGAAATCTAAGAATGATAATTTAGTGACAAAATTTACCAACTAAGTTGATGTGTTTTATAAAAAAAAAAAAAAAAGTGCCTGAAAAACACAGCACAACTGACAGGAGAAGATACATAAAAATTCTGAAAAGTACTGCATCTATAAAATTATTTTAATCTGCTATTAAAAGCCTTTCCAGAAGAAAACTTCATGCCCAAATGATCTCACCATGAAAAAACTACCAAATAATTAAGGAAAAAAATAGCAAATCTTTAAATGATATTTGCCAGAGTTAAATAAGGAAAAAAATGCTTCCATACTCAGTATGAACAATATAATCCTGACAGAAAAGGAATAGAAAAATACTAAAAGAAAAAAATGTTGGTTGGTTGGGGGCAAGTGCAAATTGTTAATGGGTACTAAAATACACTTAGAATGAATAAGATCCAGTATCTGATACTACAACAGGGTGAAGATAGTCAACAAGAATTTATTGTGTATTTTAAAATAACTTGGCTGGGCACGGTGGCTCATGCCTGTAATCCCAACACTTTGGGAGGGCAAGTCTGGTGGATCACCAGAGGTCAGGAGTTTGAGACCAGCCTGGCCAACATGGTGAAAACCCGTCTCCACTAAAAATACTAAAAATTAACCAGGCGTGATGGCCAGCACCTGTAATCCTAGCTACTCAGGAGGTTGAGGCAGGAGAATTGCTTGAACCCAGGAGGCGGAGGTTGCAGTGAGCCAAGCCAAGATTGTGCCATTGCACTCCAGCCTGGGCGACAAGAGCGGAACTCCGTATCAAAATAAATAGATAAATAACTTAAAGAATAGAATTAAAATGTTCCTAACAAAATGAAATGATAAATGCTTGAGATTATGGATACCCCAATTACCCTGATTTTATTATAATACATTGTACGCCTGTATCAGAACATCACGTGTACCCCATGAGTATATACACTCATTATGTACCCATAATAGTTAAAAGTTACATTTTTAAAAGTTAAAACACAGTGCAACTAAATGAAATTCTAAAAATATGTTTTACAATATCCATCAATAGATTAAAAACAAAAAATAATGCATCACATACAGTTAGGATATCCTTCAGGAATGTAAATAGCTTAATATTTTTAAAACTTTTTGGCAATTCTGAAAATTCCTTCTAGAACAAGGAAGATAAAGCTATTACCTAATATTACGTTAAAAACCATTGAATAAAGCTTATTCATTACACAAAACTGCTAGAAAGTTGAATACTAAAGAGATTTCTTACACTAGAAAAGGCAAACTATGGCCCACAGGAAAAATGTAACCCATTCTTGTTTTCTAAATAAAGTTACATAGGAACATGGCCACAGTTATTCATTTGATTATTATTTCTGATAGCTTTTGTCCTGAACTGACAGAGTTTCATAGTAATGACAGAGATTATGCTCTGCAGGTCTAAAGATACATACACCCGACTCTTCATAGAAAACATTTGTTACTCCCTCACCTACAGTAAAATGTCTAAAATTTCTCAGCGAGTTTGGAATAATAAAGCTAGCTGCTACTCTCTTCCCTATTTTATTAGAAGATGTAGCCAGTACACTAAGACGAGAAAATACAATCATGGGTATAAAGATTGGAAAGGAATAAATAAAAACGCCATTATTCATAGATGGCATTGTGTACCAATAGTATAACTATTGCATACACTAGTGTATTTAATAAGTAAATGTATCAAGGCCATTGGATAAAGATCAGTATAAAAAATAAACTTTATTTCTAAACTCCAGTAAGAAAATATTAGATGTGAAGGTTTAAAAACTCTAGTGTTCATTATATTAAAGAAATTTAATCACATAGAAATAGTTCTACTAAAATATATACCAGATATTTGCACATAGAAACATAATATTATTGAGATACAATATAATAGATTTCAATAAATTGAAGTGTATACCATGTTTGTGTATTTGAATGCTCAATATAAAAATTCCTGTCTCCCAAATTGATCTATAGATTCAATGGAATCTCAACAAATGGAATATTTTAAGGGAGGATATATGGTAGCAGTTTGACAAAGTTGCACTAAAATGCACCTGAAAATGCTAAGAAACCAAGATACTGAAGAAAATCTTGTAAAAAATCTTTTTAAAAAGGGTGGATGGCTATACCACCATATTCATTATATAGCTAATGAGATATATAAATCATTTTATGAAGAAGTTTATTTAACTTGTTGAAAGCCTTTGAAGAAAATCTAAATTAATTAGAACATCTCAATATTTTTACCAGAGTAAGTCTCTATATCATGCACATGTCTATTTTTTCCCAACAGGAAGTTTCATAAAACTCAAAGTCAATTCTAAAACATACATCGAAAAGCAAATCCCCCCAAGCAACCAAGACACTTTAAAATAAAAGGAAGTAGAGCAAATGTCTGGCTGGTTTCTATCTGTATCACGAAACAATTTAATTAAGACAGAGCGGCGATGAGGTTCAGGACCTCCTACCCCATACAGCACATTGGCATTTGAGAAAACAACAGAATCAGAAAGGCTGCCCTTTGACTTTCTCTGGCCTTTTTCTCTTAAAGCAGGACATAAAACCTAGGAAAGATTTTCCAGCTTTCCCTAGAAGCAGGTCATAAGACCCTCATTGGAGGGGTATCCTCTATACCAAGAGGAAAGGAGCACCCTTATCTCTGAGGACACAAGAATACAAAGTAGAATCTGACCAAACAGATCTTGCTAAGTTCCCCCCAGTTTATTGACATTAAATCATACATTTTGTCCAATCATATTTCTCTGATGTCCACTCTTTGTAAAACCTGTAAAAAATCTACAGGTTTACCCATTTCTTTGGGCCTTCATTTCCTTATGAAGACTCTCAAGTCATGTAAATTTTCTATGAAATATATCCATATGCTTTTTCTTATTAATTGTCTTCTGTTATACGGGCTTCTGTGAACTTAGGACGGGTGAGGTAAAGATATTTTTTCAACCCTTCAGAAAGATATTTTTTTTCTTGTCCTTCGTGTTAGGGCAAGGTTAGAGCGGTAGATCAATGGTACTGAATAGAAAAGCCAGATACATAAATGGATATAAAGATAGATAAATAGACATAAAGATTATAACAAAGAGAAAAATCTAACATCATGAGGAAAGAGTAGTCTTCTTAATTCCTCTGATTCAATTGGGTATCCATGTAGAAAGAAAAATATAAAAATTGACCCTACTCATACCATAAAATATTAAATTGAGTTGAATTGCAGACACAAATGGAAAAAGTTAAAAGAGAAAAAATAAAATAATACATTTGAGAACATTCTCATGAACTTGTGGGAAAAGATTTTAAGGTGTTTACCCAAACCTCTAAGCATAAAATAAATTACTCATTTATTCATTTAGATACATTAAATTAGGGACTTCTGTTTCTCAATAGGAAATACTAAGAAAATAAACTGTGTAACAGAGGGAGAAAAATATTTACAAAAATTATACATAATATAAATTTTACATTTACAATGAATAAAAGACTTTCATATAAATAAGAACAAGATAGATAACCCAATAAAATTAAAAGTACAAAAAACATGAACAGGCACATCACAAATGAAGGTATCCAAGAGGCCAACATTTGAAAACATGCTGATTTCTATTATTCATCAAGGAAGTGTAAAATAAAAATTGGGGAATATCACTACTCACCTACAATCATAGTTAAATTTCAAGATTTTCTACTGGTAGAAGTGTAAATATTTTCAAAACCTGTGAAAAACATTTTGACCACAGCTACTAAATTTGACCCTGTTCTTTACCTGTTACTCAACAAATCCCTGCTGGAATAATAAAACATATATACAAGAATGTTCATAGAAGAACCATCTATAATAGTAAAAAACCAAAAAAATCACCTAGATGGCCAACAGTATATTAGTAAATATATTTACTACTGAATAGTGGATGGTTTATACAGCAATAAAAATGATTTAACTACCGTTGCACAAATAACAGGGATGAATCTCAAAAGTATAATGTTGCAAGAAAAATGCCAGAATATACAGTTTGTACCAAATGACTCCATTTTTATAAATTTCAATAACAAACATACTTATTTATAATTTTAGAATTTGGGGTCATGGTTCCCTCTGGAGAAGGGGTAGCAATTGAGGGAGTTTCTGAGAGGTTCTGCTAAAACCATGTGGTAGTTTATGTTAATTCATCCAGCTGTATACTATCATATTACTGTGCTTTTCCAAGAAAACAAGAAGAAAATTCACCATTATCGATATAAAATAAACTTGCAGTTAAGGATGCAGATTCCGGATGCACAATGTTTTGATTTGCATCAAGAATCTGCCACTTACTACCTGGATAATCATAAACAATTTACTTCCTTCTCCATTCTTCAACTCCCGTTCATCATTTGTAAAATAAAGGTAATATAATTCCCACCGGTTTTGAAAGTTTTATGAGTAAGTGCGTATGGTATTTTCTCAATGTTTATATTCTTCCAAAATTCATATGTTGAAATATAACAGCTGGTGGTGGTGGTTCATGCCTGTAATTCTGGTACTTTGGGAGGCCGAGGCAGGCAGATCACCTGAGGTCAGGAGTTTGAGACCAGCCTGGCTAACGTAATGAAACCCCGTGTCTACTATAAAAATACACAAATTAGCCGGGCGTGGTGGCGGAGCCTGTACTCCCAACTACTGGAGAGGCTGAGGTGGGAGAATCCCTTGGATCCGGGAAGCGGAGGTTGCAGTGAGCCTAGATAGCGACACTGCACTCCAGCCTAGGCGACACAGTGAGACTCCGTCTCAAAAAAAAAAAAATAAAGGAAAAGAAAAGCAAAAAGAAACTTAACCATCAATGTGACAGTATTAAGATGTAGGGTCATTAGGAGGCAATTAAGTCATGAGGATCCAGCCCTCATGGATGGGATTAGTGCTTTCATAAAGGAGACCCTAGAGATATGATTTGTCCCTTTCACTGTGTGAGGACGGAAAGAAGATTCCATTTATGAACCAGGAAGAAGGTCCCTACCAGATTGTGAAGTTGGGGGTGCCTTGATCTTGAGCATCAAGACTCCAGACCTGCAAGAAAAAATTTTTGCTCTTTTTTTTTTTTTTTTATTATACTCTAAGTTTTAGGGTACATGTGCACATTGTGCAAGTTAGTTACATATGTATACATGTGCCATGCTGGTGCGCTGCACCCACTAACGTGTCATCTAGCATTAGGTATATCTCCCAATGCTATCCCTCCCCCCTCCCCTCACCCCACCACAGACCCCAGAGTGTGATATTCCCCTTCCTGTGTCCATGTGATCTCATTGTTCAATTCCCACCTATGAGTGAGAATATGCGGTGTTTGGTTTTTTGTTCTTGCGATAGTTTACTGAGAATGATGGTTTCCAATTTCATCCATGTCCCTACAAAGGACATGAACTCATCATTTTTTATGGCTGCATAGTATTCCATGGTGTATATGTGCCACATTTTCTTAATCCAGTCTATCATTGTTGGACATTTGGGTTGGTTCCAAGTCTTTGCTATTGTGAATAGTGCCGCAATAAACATACGTGTGCATGTGTCTTTATAGCAGCATGATTTATAGCTCTTTATAAGCCACCCAGGTAATAGTATTTTGTTACAGCAGCCCAAATAGACTAAGACAACACGTAAAGCCTCAGAACAGTGCCTACCACATATAAAGCTCTAAAGAACTGTCAAATATTGCTGTTTATTAAGACTCAACTCTAATCATGGAATAATTGTTTTGAGCAAGGCTTTGTAGGAAAGCTGATTGGTTTAGATTTCTTCTCCATATGGATTCGTGGAAGTTGAACAATGGAAGATGTAGGCAGGGGTGTTGTTTACGGTATTAACAGCATTAGGAAAAAGGGGCCAGTGAAACGCTGTTCCTGTTCTTACGGGCAGAAGGGGGAAAATATGAGATAATCTTTGAAAGATTGGAAGCATTTGATTCATCCAATCCAACATAGCTCCTCAGAACCTCCTAAAACAGGGCTGCTGCCTTCCCAGACATGTAACTTACACGGCGTCACAGGGCTCCACACACGGCTTAATGTTGTGCTATTGCCGTCTTGAAATTCTTAAACATTTTTCAACATGAGGCTCTTTATTTTCTTCTTTCCTTTTTTATTATTTATTTATTTATTTATTTATTTTGAGACGGAGTCTCACTCTCTCACCCAGGCTGGAGTTCAGTGGCGCGATCTCGGCTCACTGCAAGCTCCGCCTCCCGGGTTCACGCCATTCTCCTGCCTCAGCCTTCCAAGTTGCTGGGACTACAGGCGCCCGCCATCACGGCCGGCAATTTTTTGTATTTTTTTAGTAGAGACGTGGTTTCACAGTGTTAGCCAGGTTGGTCTCGAACTCCTGCCCTCAGGTGATCCGCCTGCCTCGGCCTCCCAAAGTGCTGGGATAAGAAGTGTGACCCACCGTGCCTGGCTAAGGCTCTTTTTTTTCATTTAGCATTTAACACTCCAACTTATGTGTAAATCCTGCGTGTAATTGTTTTGTCAAATGCATAATCTGTATCATGTTTATTTATTTGTTTAAAGCTAGCTGTACAAAGTGTGGAGCTGTGTATAGTTAGGGAAGAAAAAAAGAGGTCAGATTTTTGCCTATTTCGCCAATGACTCACCATTCTTATCTCCAGCCACCTGCAGAGTCCTAGAGCTCCTGAGAAAGTATGAATGCTCGTGAATACCCTCTCTCTTAATGGGAGATGATTCTAGTCTTGAAGAAAAAGTTGTGGGAGCTCTTTAATAGGAGCTGGCTATTAAAAAACTATACTCTGAATACAAATCTCAGGTTTTACAAGAAAGGGGTAGAAGACATATCTAAATGTATTTGATTGATAAGTTTACTTTTGTGAAACATTACTGACAATATGAGAAATTCAATAAGAAACTGAATATTTCTTTCATAGTAAGTTCTGGATGATAATTGAATCCGAATCTGTATCAAGTGTTGATTTATTTTAAATGAATATTTCACCAATTATTTTAACATGATAAAAACACAATTTAAATATATGTTAACAAAGTTAAAGTGTAAAATATTACTGATCTATTGAAATAAGAACGAAGGACTTAAGATTTAAAGGGTGACTTCTTATGTCTCCTCAAGAAACTTTAAAATCTGCTCGTATTGTACAGAGAAACTACATTATTACTTGACTTTTTGCTATCTGTATTGAAAACCATAGAAAGCCTAAATGTAAAATTCATTAATTAGTAAAAATAACCTTTATATTGAATTTTAATTACCACTTTACTAAAGTACATTTTCCATTTTATACATTTATTATGGTTAGAGTTTGAGAACAAATTATAAATTGATCAACTTCTTTAAATAATGGGTATTTTGTTACAAATGTAGAAAAACAATATTTAATCTAAGTTGTCACATAACACATGACACTCACTTTACCCATATAATAGAGATTCTTATGATTGTTGAGGATGTCTTTTGTAGATGGGATCAACACTATGCACGTGTGTGTGTGTGTGTTTCTACGTATGATTGGTGGAATTTATGTTACATGTTGTATCTATAGAGCATGTTGGATGGAATGCTTTTGCAAAAAATGTTTTAAGTTCCTTAAACAGCACAAATTTAACATAGAATGAAATAGAGGATAGAAATAAGCATGAAATTATACATACTTATTTTGTTGCTCTATGGATGCCTATGCCTACTATATCTAGTTTCAACTAAAGCTAAAAGACAAAAAAAAAAAAAAAAACTCACTGAAACTGACAAATAGAATGAGTCAGGTACCTATGGAAATTCCAACACAGTGATGGAAAAAAATCAATATGACTAAGATTTGAGTTTTAACAAAACCCCAAGTCAAAGTATTTTATTAGTTCAGTAGAATCAGTGATCACTTCCATTATCTAAATAACATTTTTTTCTAATTTCTAGACATCTTTATACAAATATTTATATTACTTCTTCCAGTTTATTTGAATGAAAATCTCTAACCTGATGAAAGGATGGAAATTCACGATAAACTAAAAGGGACAACTTTTGACATATAATAAGATCTGATACACATATATGTGTATGTATAATTATTCAAAATTTAGATTTTTTTAACAATACTCATAGAATACTATGGTAATGATAAAAATCCTGAAGAGGTTATGAGTGGAATTTGAAAATAGTTCTCTAATTTGCTGCAGAATTACCTGCCACCACATCACTTTTATCCTAGGCAAAAATCTACTCCTATTCCTAAGATTAGCTGTCCTGTCTAAGATCAAAGGCTTTTGTGAACTAAAAAATTTATTGATAAATAAGTGATTTCTGAGATCTAGATCAGTAGCACGTGATGATGCAATTCCAAGTTATAGCATTTGACAGTATTTTGCAAAGCTAGAATAAATAGCTCTAATATATTTCACAGTCTTATTGGATTCATCCCTGTTACTAAATCCCTGCATTTAACTTTTCTGATTAGCACACAACTATTCCATTTCCTTTTGTTAGATGTCTGTCTGAATGGTTCACAATATGGCTGCCCTCACTTGAAAGCTGACTATCTCATTTATTTTCTTGGTTGTCATCTCTCTACATTTACATTTTTGTCCTGCTCCCCAAGCAGACTGGTACATGGAGTGAGTTCACTAATGTTAACCATTGAAATGTAACTGCATATATGGCTATAATTTTAGTATACTGTGTATGAGTTTCTTAATGCTGTCAGAACAATGTACAAGAATTTGGGTGGCTTAAAACAATTCATTTATTATATATGGTTCTGAATGCTAGAAGGGTGAAATCAAGGCAGGATGGCCTCTTTCAGAAAGTAGTGAAGAAGAACCTACTTGTTCCATGTTTTTCTCCTAGCTTCTGGAAGCTTCCAGCAATCCATGTTGTTACTTGGCTCTAGATGCATCACCCTGTTCTTTGCCTCCATCATCACATGACATTCCCTTCCTCTGTTTCTTAGTGTCGCCTCTCTTCTGATATAGACACCAGTCATATTGAATTAAGGCCTACCTTAATTAAGTATGACCTCATTTTAACCTGATTATACATGCAAAGACTCTATTTGCAAACAAGGTTACAATTGCAAGTACTAGTGATTAGGACTTCAACATATTTTTGGGGGATATACATAATTCCAGCCAGAACACTATGATTCAAAAACCTAACAAAAACATGGCCAGCCACTGTGGCTCATGCCTCATGCCTGTAATTCAAGCACTTTGGGAGGCTGAGGCGGGTGGATAACCCGAAGTCAGAAGTTCAAGACCAGCCTGACCAACACGGTAAAACCCTGTCTCTACTAAAAATACAAAAAATTACCTGGGCATGGTGGCATGCGCCTATAATCCCAGCTACGTGGGAGACTAGGCAGAAGAATTGCTTGAACTTGGGAAACAGAGGTTGCAGTGAGCTGAGATTGCACCACTGCACTTCAGCCTGCACAACAAAGTGAGACTCTCTCTCAAAAAAAAAAAAAAGAGAAGAAAAGAAACATAATAAGAGCTAATATATGAGCATTTATTATCCATCAGAAATCCTGACATGACATATAATGCATCCCTTACAATAAATATGGAAAATAGTATTATTACTATAATTCCTATCTTACAGGTGAATAAAGTGATGTATTAGTATATTTATTGCCTAACATCACAAACATGATAGAGTAAGTTACAAATGCCTGTGACTTTAATATTCACATCATTCAAATACCAAAATTTACACATACATCTGAGCTTATGCCAAAATCTAGCCGAGTACTTTTCTAACATAAAGCATGTCTAAAATTCATATGTTTAAATCTAATATTAAATTTTATATTATTTAGGTTTAATTATTTGTAGTCACCCCCTTTAAATAACATTGCTTCTGACAATTCCTAATATAAAAAGCCTATTTTCTATATTGACTATATAGACTGCAGAGAAAGATGTTTTCTCTGGACAGGTAATTCAAAACTGTTAGGGACTGTAAGTAAAAATTTGTGAATCTTGGAGCAAAGAAAATATATATAGTTATGTGTGCAATGTGTGCATGATATACAAAAGTGTAGAAAAAGATCTCAAATCCAATTAAGAAAACATACAATGTAAAGCACAAAGTGAATACAAGGGTAACATATAGCAATTTATGTACAAGAATATAAATTGCCAGAAATTCAATCTATCACACGTATCAAAAATGAAGCTCCTTCCAGAATATGTAAAACATGTGAATGCATCTAATGCAAGAGGTTACTTTCTTAAAATCTACAGGCAACGGGGTGTTAAAGTCTCCCATTATTATTGTGTGGGAGTCTAAGTCTCTTTATAGGTCTCTAAGGACTTGCTTTATGAATCTGGGTGCTCCTGTATTTGGTGCAGATATATTTAGGATAGTTCTTGCCTATCTTACTCACTGCTGTATCCCTCAGTTCTTGGCATAGTGTCTGGACCAAGGGAGAACTTAAATTGTGTTTCTGAATGAACGATTGAAAGACAGGCACTGGCCATGCCCTTGCAGAGCTTACCGGCTAATGAGAGAGAAAGGTAGGGAACAATCATCACCTCACAGTACCATTAGACAGATCAATGAGACGGAAAGTTAGCAAGGATATCCATGACCTGAACTCAGCTCTGCACCAAGTGCACCTAATAGACATCTACAGAACTCTCCACCCCAAATCAACAGAATATACATTCTTCTCAGTACCGCATCATGCTTATTCCAAAATTGACCACATAGTTGGAAGTAAAGCACTCCTCAGCAAATGTAAAAGAACAGAAATTATAACAAACTGTCTCTCATACCACAGTGCAATCAAATTAGAACTCAGAATTAAGAAACTCACTTAAAACCGCACAACTACATGGAAACTGAACAACATGCTCCTGAATGACTACTGGGTAAATAACAAAATGAAGGCAGAAATAAAGATGTTCTTTGAAACCAATGAGAACAAAGACACAACATACCAGAATCTCTGGGACACATTTAAAGCAGTGTGTAGAGGGAAATTTATAGCACTAAAAGCCCACAAGAGAAAGCAGGAAAGATTTAAAATCAACACCCTAACATCACAATTAAAAGAACTAGAGAAGCAAGAGCAAACACATTCAAAAGCTAGCTGAAGGCAAGAAATAACTAAGATCAGAGCAGAACTGAAGGAGATAGAGACAAAAAAAAAACCCTTCAAAAAATCAGTGAATCCAGGAGCTGGTTTTTGAAAAGATCAACGAAATTGATAGGCCACTAGTAAAGCTAATAAAGAAGAAAAGAAAGAAGAATCAAATAGACACAATAAAAAATGATAAAGGGGATATCACCACCAATCCCACAGAAATACAAACAACCATCAGAGAATACTGTGAACACAGCTATGCAAATAAACTAGAAAATCTAGAAGAAATGGACAAATTCCTGGACACATACACCCTCCCAAGACTAAACTAGGAAGACGTTGAATCCCTGAATAGACCAATAACAGGCTCTGAAATTGAGGCAATAGTTAATAGCCTACCAACCAAAAAAAAGGCCAGGACCAGACGGATTCACAGCCAAATTCTACCAGAGGTAAAAAGAGGAGCTGGTACTATTCCTTCTGAAACTATTCCAATCAATAGAAAAAGAGGGAATCCTCCCTAACTCATTTATGAGGCCAGCATCATCCTGATACCAAAGCCTGGCAGAGACACAACAAAAAAAGAGAATTTTAGACCAATATCCCTGATGAACATCGATGCAAAACTCCTCAATAAAATACTGGCAAACCGAATCCAGCAGCACATCAAAAAGCTTATCCACTCTGATCAAGTGGGCTTCATCCCTGGGATGCAAGGCGGGTTCAACATATGCAAATCAATAAACGTAATCCAGCATATAAACACAAACAAAGACAAAAACCACATGATTATCTCAATAGATGCAGAAAAGGCCTTCGAAAAAATTTAACAGCCCTTCATGCTAAAAACTATCAATAAACTAGGTATTGATGGGACGTATCTCAAAATAATAAGAGCTATTTATGACAAACCCACAGCCAATATCATACTGAATGGGCAAAAACTGGAAGCATTCCATTTGAAAACTGGCACAAGACAGGGATGCCCTCTCTCACCACTCCTATTCAACATAGTGTTGGAAGTTCTGGCCAGGGCAATCAGGCAGGAGAAAGAAATAAAGAGTATTCGATTAGGAAAAGAGGAAGTCAAATTGTCCATGTTTGCAGATGACATAATTGTATATTTAGAAAACCCCGTTGTCTCAGCCCAAAATCTCCTTAAGCTGATAAGCAACTTCAGCAAAGTCTCTGGATACAAAATCAATGTGCAAAAATCGCAAGCATTCTTATACACCAATAACAGACAAACAGAGAGCCAAATCATGAATGAACTCCCATTCACAATTGCTTCAAAGAGAATAAAATACCTAGGAATCCAACTTACAAGGGATGTGAAGGACCTCTTCAAGGAGAACTACAAACCACTGCTCAACGAAATAAAGGAGGACACAAACAAATGGAAGAACATTCCATGCTCATGGATAGGAAGAATCAATATTGTGAAAATGGCCATACTGCCCAAGGTAATTTATAGATTCAATGCCATCCCCATCAAGCTACCAATGACTTTCTTCACAGAATTGGAAAAAACTACTTTAAAGTTCATATGGAACCAAAAAAGAGCCTGCATTGCCAAGTCAATCCTAAGCCAAAAGAACAAAGCTGGAGGCATCATGCTACCTGACTTCAAACTATACAACAAGGATACAGTAACCAAAACAGCATGGTATTGGTACCAAAACAGAGATATAGACCAATGGAACAGAACAGAGCCCTCAGAAACAATACCACACATCTACAACCACCTGATCTTTGACAAACCTGACAAAAACAAGAAATGGAAAAAGGATTCCTTATTTAATAAATGGTGCTGGGAAAACTGGCTAGCCATATGTAGAAAGCTGAAACGATCCTTTCCTTACACCTTATACAAAAATTAATTCAACCTGGATTAAAGACTTAAATGTTAGACCTAAAACCATAAAAACCCTAGAAGAAAACCTAGGCAATGCCATGCAGGACATGGGCATGGGCGAGGACTTCATGACTAAAACACCAAAAGCAATGGCAACAAAAGCCAAAATACACAAATGGGATCTAATTAAACTAAAGAGCTTCTGCACAGCAAAAGAAACTACCATCAGAGTGAACAGGCAACCTACAGAATGGGAGAAAATTTTTGCAATCTACCCATCTGACAAAGGGCTAATATCCAGAATCTACAAAGAATTTAAACAAATTTAAAAGAAAAAATCAAACAACCCCATCAAAAAGTGGGTGAAGGATATGAACAGACACTTCTCAAAAGAAGACATTTATGCAGCCAACAGACACATGCAAAAATGCTCATCATCACTGGCCATCAGAGAAATGCACATCAAAACCACAATGAGATACCATCTCACACCAGTTAGAATGGCGATCATGAAAAAGTCAGGAAACAACAGGTGCCGGAGAGAATATGGAGAGATAGGAACACTTTTACAGTGTTGGTAAGACTGTAAACTAGTTCAACCATTGTGGAAGACAGTGTGGCAATTCCTCAAGAATCTAGAACTAGAAATACCAATTGACCCAGCGATCCCATTACTGGGTATATACTGAAAGGATTATAAATCATGTTGCTATAAAGACATGCATACATATGTTTATTGCAGCACTATTCACATTAGCAAAGACTTGGAACCAACATAAATGTCCATCAATGATAGACTAGATTAACAAAATGTGGCACATATACACCATAGAATAGTATTCAGCCATAAAAAATGATGAGTTCATGTCCTTTGTAGGGACATGGATGAGGCTGGAAACCATCATTCTAAGCAAAGTGTCACAAGGACAGAAAACCAAACACCGCATGTTCTCACTCATAGGTGGGAATTGAACAATGAGAACACTTGGACACAGGGTGGGGAACATCACACACTGGGGCCTGTCTTGGGGTTGGAGGAAGGGGGAGGGATTAGGAGAAATATCTAATGTAAATGATGAGTTAATGGGTGCTGCAAACCACCATGGCTTATGTTATACATATGTAACAAACCTGAACTTTGTGCACATGTACCCTAGAACTTAAAGTATAATAATAATAAAAAAAATCTACAGACAACACAGGAAATGCTTAAAATTCTGTGTTACATGGATTGAAAATGAAACTGAATTTGTTCAGGAATTAACCAAGGTACCATTAAATCCGAATCAGCAAAAAATACCTTATGCACTTCAAAAGAAGGGGCCTCTCAACTAATGAATAAAAATGTCACATTTTAGCCACAATACAAGAAGTTGACTTTTTCCTCCTTTCTGGTAAGCCTCATTTTTGGTGATGGCCAATTTATTTGCCATCTTTTAAAGGACCAGAATGAGTAGAGACTACCAAGGATAATATTGTAGTGAAGTTACCCACACACAAATTAATTTTATTGTTTCTTCTCATATAACCAATGCAAAATGCGAATATAGCTTTCTAATTCTTAGTGTAAAACTTTGAATTTATAATCTTTATCCATGTCTTAGGTTAGACTCCAAATTTTCTTATTTTCCCCCCAAAAATATTCAACTTATGAAACAAGATCATGAGGTGTCCTAATTTAGACTTTGAACTAAAGTCAACTAGGTAATGATTTTAGATTTTTTCTCCCTGGAAAAGGGGGAGTTGTTTTTGTTTATTCTTGCCATTATATGTAAAAGGTATTTGGTTTTAGAAACAAATATTTAAAAAACAGTAATAATTTGATATATTTTCTGCCACAACTAGTGTATTTTGTCCCTTTTTAAAACATTCTTAGCTTTTTTTCTTCTGCAACGCTTTCCTCAAGGTCCGTTTTGAAGTTATTTTTACATAGACAAGCCAGTCAAGTATCCCAGAAAGCCATGGAGATGCCCATAGTTCTCAATCCCTGAATACATAAACTTTTTTAGTTTTGTGAAATTAACGATAGATATATCCTGAGTAATGAGGACAGAAGATAAAGCTGGGGGACAGTCTTGTGGCTGCACTGGGACCTATTTGTGTTTTTATCAAATAATTAGACACCTGGCATGTATGAATGGTGGTTTTACAAATTAAATGCAACTTGAGGTCAAAGCAAGTGTATTGTGTATACATGATGATCATTTGTTAGAACAAGTAAAATTTGTTTTTAAAGCTGCCTAGCCTTGATGAGTCATAAACAAAATTATGTGGAATGTGAAAATAATTGAACTACTTAGAACTAACACCCACTCAGTGATAGGTGATTAATCCTGCTTTAAAAGAAAAAAAAAAAACAGTCTCAAAACCGAAGGTCACCTCCAGGCATAGCTATGCTTATCTACTTGGAGCAGATTTTTTAAAATCCTATATTTAAAGATACCTGTGATTGATATCTCATACTATTCACTAGAAACATAACCCTCTCTTTAGTCAAGCGTCTAATCAATGGCATCTCTTTAGGTCTAAGGGTCTCCAAGTTTATTACACATAAGAGTTGCTTGAGAAGCTTGTTAGTGATGCAGATTGCCAAGACCCACTCCAAGAATTTTGCTTCATTTAATGGGTTTGGAGGGTGCAGTAAGAGATATTATAACAACTTCCAAAGTGACTTTTTTGTGGACTATGCTTGTGGAAACACTGTCATCAGGTTAACCCAAACCCCTTTAACATCCTTTGCAATGACCTTTCAATTAAAATTATCTTGTCCATAACCATTTTGTAAATAGACAAATAGTGGAATAAAGAAGGAAATAAGAGGCAAATATCTGACCTCTAGACTGAGTCTACAGATTCCTAGGTGGACTTCAGGTCATTTTACTTTTTAATATGATTTAATTTGTTTTATTAGATTTCATTTCTTTTTCAAATAAAGTAGAAAAATCGAATGTTATGCTCTCAAGATTATATAAAGAATTACAGCTTTATGCTTCTGTATTTATTTTTAAATATAACCCTTTTAAATTAGCTATATACCAGTTACTAACTATACTTTTAACCATATATTTATTATTTATAATATTATGTTATTATTTATATTAAATATATTATATTTATTATTATTTATTATCTGTGTTATTTTTTTCTAAGACAGTTATCTCCAACTTCCTTAAGATGCAGCTCCTTCTGGTACCCTTGGGTATATTATATAATCACCCCATCTTATTGGGCATTCTGGTTTTCAGTTACAATACCTTTTAAAATGGTTTATTTTGCTGGCAGCTGTTTACTCATTCTTAAACACTTTGAGGACTTCTCATTCATATTCTCTCTGTATACTGAGATTAATGCTAGCTGACTGTTGCCCTAATTATTAATAGTCACATGATTGTACTAGTTAATATCACACATTTGTCTATTGTTCTTAAGGCTATGCAGTCTCATCCCATTGAGATATTCTGGGACATCTTATTTTACTAATTTATCTATTTAAACTTACCCATTTCCTTAGGAAAAAAAACTTGGAAAAGTAATATTCTACTAACAATTCTTCAATAAATGGCTTTAGTGATAGTTCATTTAGGAGATAAAGAACTACTCTTAAGTTATTAAAACAGTGAGAATTTGACATAGATAACTTGTTTCATAGATAATAAATAGCTGAGAAAAAGAAAGAGTATCACCAGAGCCCAGAAGACAGGACCAACATACAAAAGGTAGAATCACAGGGATCTGCTTGGGCATCTCTTAGGCACCCAGAAAAAAAGGCAGCAATGACAAGAAGAGGCTAAAAGCAAGGAAAGGAAGTACCAGCCTCTCTGACCCTCTCATTTTGTAATATCTTACCAGCACCCCTCATTGGAGAAAATCAGCCAGAAATGAGTTGGCATGAACTTTCACAGGACACAGCTCGTGAGGTTCACTCACCCTGTGATGCTTAGCAGAAAAAGTAATAGAGCAGAGAAAGTGTATGAGGGCAAAATGTTCACACTTGGCACACAGAGTAAGTATACTGCCACACTACCATATGCATTGTAAAATAATGTTAATGGCAATTATTATTAGATAAAAATTAATTGATATAATTAATTTTAGAATTTAAAAAGGTATATTTCTCTTATATTGATGATAAGCATTTGGATATAGTAGTTTTACTTATGGGGACACTCAAATAATATAAAGTATTGAGAAGAAATAGGAAAATCTGAATTAAATGTTCACATGCAACGGCAGACAAATTGTGTAGATTTGTTAACCAATAGCTGATGGCAATGGTAAACTAAGAAATAAAAATAAAATTAGAAAATTAGGCTTCAATTCTGATTCATATGGCAGGCCAAGATAACACAGATTTCTCTCCAGGCAAAATAGCACAGCATTTATGGCTAACAAAATACATAGTACTATATAATGAAAATACAAAGTTGAGTTTGAAAAAGAAAAATCCTGTTGTAGCAACAATCATAAGAGGGAAAAGAACGTAAAACCATTATTATAAAAATATTAAATGCATTCAAAATGGAGATGAATATATTAACTGGGAACGTGAAAGTTATAGTAAAAGATCCTCCACATTTCTAGAGATGGAAAATCAAAGGTCTGAGATGAAAAATAGACTCTATGGAGTGATGAGCAGTTGGTCCACAAATTATATGTCTATGTTTTAATCCCCAGAGCCTCTGAATGTTACATTATTTGGAAAAGGAAATTTTGTAGATGTCGTTTAGTTAAAAATCTTGAGATGAAGATTTCATCCTGGATTATCTGGGTAAAGATGCAGAGTTAAAAAGAGCTACACAGAGGGGAAGTCGATGTGAAGAAGGAATCAAGAGTGCAATAAACCGAGGGATGCTGAAGACTGCCAGAACCTGGCAGGGGCAAGAAATGAACCTCCCTGAAATCCTCCAGAGAACGTGTGGGCATAATGACACTTCAGTTTTGAACTCCTAGCCTCCAAAACTGTGACAGAGTAGTTTTTTAAAGCCATTCAGTTTGTGGTAATTTATTACAGAACCTTAGGAATTTAATACAGGTATTAGCAGAAGATTAGATAGTGGAGAAAAAAATCTTATTTACAGCTATAGAAACTATCAAAAATGAAACAAATACGAAATATAAACAGACAAAATGAAAAAAATAGCATCGGTGAGTTGAATAAAAAAACTTTAAGATACAATAAAGATGTCCTCAGGGAAAGGGAATGACAGAAAAAAATCTGAGGAAATAGATATCAAAATATTTCCTAATTTGATAAAAACAATAAATCCATCTATCAATTGAGTAACACCTCAATGCACTTTACAAATAAGAAACAGAATAATACATGAACTCAAAACATAACCAATTTCCTTAATACCAATAATGAAAAAATATCTTTAAAACAGAGAAAATAGAAACATTGTGTACAGAGGAACAAAGAACAACAGAAGAGTTCTCACTGAAAATAATTCAAAACAGAAAACATTACATAAATTTTAGTAATAAAATCTATTGGGAATTAATGTTAGTAAATGGTCAGATAAGTTTTAAACAAATTGTATTGTATAAAATCTGATCATAATTTGGTGATACGCTTATAGATTTAAAATCTGATTATAATATGCTATTTTCTTTACATTTTTAACATATAGTTATAATGTAGCATTATGTTTATATTTGTACAGTTTAAATGAAGGGCTGATGATATTACATTTCCCATTTTTTATTCTGTTTATAACAAAATTTAATTTTATTTTATAAATTAAAATTAGTTTTCTTTTGGAGACTGCACATTGTTCTAATGAAGGATGTAATACGGGCTTTTAGTATTAATCATGAATTCTTCCATATCGCCTATGTCCACGTGCATATATTAAATTGATAACATGATATATAAGAACTCTGAAGTTAAATGTACACATGACTAACATGGCATTATCACTAATTTTCACATATGCAAAATTTCTTTTGTAAGTGAACAGCATTACTCTGATACGAAAACCCAAAAAATACAGCACCAAAAAAACCCACTACAGATAGATACCCCTAACTATATAGATTAAAAACTTATCAAAAACAATTAGAAAATGAATACAGAAGAATATTTTTTAAATACAACTTCCATACGTAAAAGGAATGCATTATCATCCCATTTTGTAACACCAAATATTTAAAAAATGATGTATACGGCTGGGTGCAGTGGCTCACTCCTGTAATCCTAGCACTTTGGGAGACCAGGGCGGGTGGTTGAGGTCAGGAGTTCGAGACCAGCCTGGTCAACATGGTGAAACCCTGTCTCTACTAAAAATACAAAAATTAGCTGGGCATAGTGGCACATGTCTGTAATCCTAGCTACTCGGGAGGCTGAGGCCAGAGAATCGGTTGAAACTTGGGAGGCGGAGATTGCAGTGAGCCAAGACTGTGTTCCACTGCATTCCAGCCTGGGAGACAGAGGGAGACTTCATCTCAAAAATAAATAAATAAAATAAAATAATAAAAAATAAAAAGATGTATACTCCAAGGTCCAGAATTTATAAAATTATTAATTTTACTGATATATCAAAGACATTCTTAAAGAAATCACACACCCCATACCCACTACAAATGTGTGTAATATGAATGCTAATACAATTTGATGTGTCACTGCCTTGATTTTTGATAAGGTGCCAGTAGTTTTAACCACCATCCACTTTGACACCGCCAGTATAAATGTCAACAGAGTAGAAAGGGCAAGTAATGTGTTGCTATTATTATTAAAATAGTTTGCCCTCACTATTTTTTAAAGAAATTAATATTTCCTTTATGTGAAAATACTTATCTGAATCTCAGCAATTTGATCAGATTGAATTTAGATCAGATTGAATTTAGTGTTTTTATTTATTCCCTACATTCTGATGAAAATATCTGTAATTTAAAAATAGCAGCTTTAATGTGTCTTCACATTTAATATATTTGTCTATCTAGGCAAATCTGCACATATGCATAGGGGGGTACATGGCATACTCTTCAAAATGTTAATGCTTTTTATATCTGAATGGTAAAAAGTGTGCATTTTTTTGTTATTGCTAACATTAGCAATGAGTATTTTTCCTGCTGCATGTATTAAAAAAGAATACCTTTCAATTTTACAAAAATAGTATCATTGCACAATAAAGTGGAAAAGACCCTGGAAGAAAACAGCAGCAACAGTTCGTAATGTGTAACAGCTACTTTGGGTCAGAAGCGTTGTGGGAACTTGTCAGCCCAGCATGATTGTTTTAGTTCCCTGATGTACTGAAGAGTATCACAGCTCAATTCAAAGCTAGTTGTGTCAAGCCCTTCAGACTTGTTTCTCATTTAACAACTGAAGTTATCTAAATTGGTCTATTCCCACATGCCATACTATTTACTAGGCACTTTGTTAGGAACTAGGGATGAAGAAGTCAAATAAGATTTTGTCCCTGACTGCAAAGAGCTTGTAACCTAATTTACAAGTCTAAATGTAACTTCTAAGCCTTATGGTGCCTTTCAGTGTAAAAAGGGGTTGACAACCTTCTAACACCTAATGCAAATTGATATGCATAGTAACATTGCTTTCGGAAAACGAGGCAATCTTGAGATCTAGTGATCTATAATTAGTTACCATATATTGTACATTTTCTGCGTATCAGGCATTATGATAAGTACTATGTAACAATAAAAAACAATTATTTTAAATTTGTAAATAGCGTCTGAGATACATTTGAACTTCTCAGTTTTACGTTGGTGAAAACTGAGGCTTAGAGAGAAAAAGTAATTTTCCCAAGGTCTCCTATACATGCATGGCAGATTCAGATCAAGTGACTCACTCCACAGTCCAGCCTCTTCTCCATTCTATTATCCTGCCTTTCTGCTTAGCTAGCTCCTCAGAGGCAAATCCACTTATGATGATGAGAGTTAAGCTATCTCTCAAATGTTCCCAGAAATAGTGCAGATTTGTTTTAATCCTCAACTCAATACATACTGGGAACGCAGACGAGACATAGTCTGCAAAAGCAGGTTTATTATTTTGATTGATGCCAGGTGAGTATCAGGGGTTCTAAGACCTTTATCTGAATTGTATGAAGTATAGCTCACATTATAATGAAGGTTGCTTGACAATTGTCCTTTATCAACATATTTCCAATAATCCCCACGGTAGTTATATTTTTGAGAAACTGAGAAATAGCAATGCTGTCAGACATATTATGTTTAGAAATGATGTAAATCTAAAGATAACATTGAAACTAGGAAAATCACAGCTTTGTTCTTACTTAGACCTGATTTTCTTCTATTGGATTCGGAAGCATATCCGATTAACATAGAGTTTGTTGTTTATTTGCTTATTTTTCGTTGGTATCCATTTTTTAAAAATCATCATTGCTTTTTTATTCAGAGACCATTGCAGAAACTGTACTTGACATGAATGAAATTTATTCCTAGATCTTGCAAATTGTGGTCTATGGAAACTTTATGACTAATTCAAGCTTGGTTTTCACTCCTCTTTGGCTACAGCTGGTTTCTTTTCCTTGCTGTTCATGAAATAGGCCTTGATTTTTTTTTCCTTCTGACTTATTTATAAGGTTCTGCCATTTGTGCAAAGTATGTGTTCTACAAACTATTTAATGGCCAGCACAAGATAAACCTGCCTGCTGATGTCTTCTCTGATTTATCATGACTGAGACTGAGTTTGTCCTTACTTTAAGCCTATTACCACATTCTCAAAACGTTGACATTAGCTTTGAAGTCTAAAGTTATTTCACATGTGTTTATTTGATCTATTCTAATACATAAATTCTTTTTGATATCTATCTGCTATCTTATACTGCTTTATGCAGTCAGGGAAAATTCAATAGATTCTTAGGAAGTGTTATATGTGAGATTTATTAAAAAACAAAACCAAAGAACACATCCACTTTTACAATCATCCAAATTTATGCTAAATGTTCTATTATTTTTATTATAATCCAATTCTCTTTAGTAAAATCACACTTTTACTTACCTCACATTATAGTTTACAAACTAAAGCATATATTATTTCAATTTGCCTTAGCTAAATTTCTGGAAAATAACAAAGGTTGATGTCACTTTTTCCTAATTTCATGGTTGAAAGAAACAAACTTAAAATGTTAATAGATTTGCCCCAAATTATATAAAATTCAGATTGAGTCTGGTTCTAGAAATCAAATCTTTCAATGTCAAACCTAGTGTTATAATTTACCTTGATGTTTTCTACTTCTTAAGGCATATGATCATATTATTTTAGTTTACTCATCACTCAGCTTATAAAATATTGAAAAAAACCAGTAATACTTCGTGTTGTCTTAAATCTTGAAACTGTATATTATACACATTATGCATCTGAGTCAGTAAAAATCACAGTGATGAAGTAAATGTTATTTAAACTTCCATCATGGGTTGTAGCCTACTTCATTACAGGCCATCTATTCCCAAATCCTACAAAATAATTTCTTCCAAATGTTAAACCTCTTGTCAGTCTTTTAGCATTCAATTAGTTCCATTTGCAGTAGATGTAACCCAGAAGCCAGCCTTTATATTGCACTTCTAATGGTGAGAGTGAGATGTGAGAAAACTGTTATTCTGCAAAAGTGGCCCTGGATAAGTATGATCAAAAAGAACTGAAAACATTTGATCTTGGAACAATGCAAATCATTTCCAAAACAAAGTTTCCTGCATTGACAAGTACATTTACAGGTTCTCACCTTCAGTGTTTCAAAATGTATTTATAAGGCATAATACATGAGATAGCCCAGATTAAGAAATGATATGAAAGAAAGATTTTTATCTGAAAACTTTTTTTTCAAAAATTTCCAAAATGCTGGGACCTTGCAATTTTAAGTTTTATGGAAGCCAGTTATTCTGTAGGACAGTAGGGTGTTTGTTAAGTTTGACAGTGTTATTATATATTAGAAAGATGTCAGCACTTGGAGGCAGGAAAAGGATTTTGCCATCAAGTAACTGAGATATACAAGTGTTCTAGGTCACCTGGAGAAACCTAAAAAGCCAAACAGCGTCCACTCTCAAGAAGCTCTGCCTAATACAGGAATTCATGACAAATGCAGACACAGAATCTACATGTTAGAATGATGCAGATTCAGTATTAGGAAGGTTCAACTGAAAAAGAGCTTCACTTCAATATTAAGGTATGCGGAAAATAATTTTGAACAAGAAGATAGCTGTTTAGAGGGTTTAAGTATACATTGATATTTAACTTGTACAGAGAAAAAAAATTCTGAATAAAGAAAACTGAATAAGCAGAGAAATATATATAAGAAGTTATAAGGCATATTTGGCAGGAAATAAATACGTCAATTTATCTGGTACAAAGTGTTACCGGAATGTGAGTCTGCAGTTATCCTGAGAAACTCCAGAGGGGAGACTTTGCAGATCTCAGTCCTTTGTCTTCTGGAAGGAAATAATTCAAATGAGATACACAGGCAAGCTTTAAAGCAGGAGGGAAAGTTTATTTCAAGAGAAGTGAGAGTTTCTTGGAGAAAGTAGATTACACCTGGAGGATAGCCAAGCAGGCAACTTGAAAAATCAGGTGCCTTGGCTGCATCTTTGTTCTGAGTTTTTATAACCCTTATCTTTTCCTGGGCTCTTTGCCTCCACCCTTCGTTCTTCCTCTGGGCAGTCTGTCGCTCAATTATGGTGTATTACATGGTTCTGCCAGCACTTTGTTGGGGCCGCATGCGCAGTGTGCTTACTGAAGTCATGCGCAGGCCCATTAGAGGCAATTCGTCCTTAAAGGTCAAGGGCCCACAAAGGAAGGTCAGGTACTGGTTAAATTTGACTTTTTTGCACTTTTACTGTACATGCTGGAAACCTTGTCAGGCTTACTAACTTCAGGTGTCCTCTGTCTGTTGTAAGACCCCTGTTATTCCCAGCGCCAGTCATGGGCCATTTACAACCTTAGAGGCCTAGTTTTATGCCCACTACTCTTCCCCTCGATGAGAATCAGACAACTCTGGGGTCCCTACCTTGTCCTGCTCACCATTTCAGAGTACACATTTATAACTGCCTGACCCTGGCTTGACAAATGCCCAACATTTCTGGGCCCTCTCTCCTGCCCTGCTTACATCTATCTACCTACTGTAACAAAAGTTACCGTGGAAAGGAAGCTCAGAAGTCAGGTAGAGGCAACTGTTTGGGACAATTCAATAGAACAGATCATCATGAATGCAAAACGAAAGAATTAGGTCTTCCTGTAGAAAATAAGGAGGCATTGAATGTTTTAAACAGAATTAGAATTACTCTTGGGCAAGTTTTATCTGCCATTGGCATATATTTGTTAAATGAATTAGAAACTGAAAGTAAGGAACTTAGCTGTGAGCCACTGCAACTTAAATTACCCAGATCGGAGATGAAGGATGCTAGAAGCAGGGAAGAGGGTTGGTCTCAGGAATTTTCTAGAAGGAACCTTGACAAAGTATGGTAACAGATGGAATTATCACAACACTCCTAAATTTTTTTTCAGGTTTGATTCATCTCAAATGTGATAGAACCTGACTGAGACAGTTTTAATACCACAAAAAGAAACCCTTAAAACTCCCCCACTATTAATACAAATGGTAGCCACTATTTGTTTTCTATATACTATATATTTTGTTACGTATTGTACATATATTATCTTACATCGTATTCTAAAAATTTTATAAAGTAAGTATTAGACATATTTTGCAGTGAGGAATAAGGACTCAAAAACAGTTAACAATTTGCCCATATATCCGAGAAAGCACATGACAGATGCAAGGTTCGATTTTCAATTCTTTATTCACAGAAGAATGAAATAATTTTCACGTTGCTCCTTGCAAATAATTCATCCATTATTTCTTTCCATCCATCTTGCTAACCACAAACTGTCGAGTGAATGTCTGCTAATCTGCAACCAATTTTGATGCTCTTTGTCCTGTGATTAATATTTACCATACTTTCTAAGAATCTGAAGAAGGAATGCTTAGGAGAAAAAAACTCCACCTGACATTTCTTAACCTTCCTTATAAAATTTTAAATCTTCTTGTGTCCCACCAAAAACCCATTTTTAAGATGTTCTCACTTCAAAATATTTTTAAAAGATTTAGGGTAAAAGCTTTCATTGATTTTTCCTCTTCCATGTATCTCTTAGAAGAAAAAAAAATAGAAAATACAGTAATCTTGGTGAAGGGCAGAAAGGGAACTGGTTTGGGAGAAGGAGGGTGAGGAAACACAAGGGAATCTGACTGGAGAGTTTTTCTCTAAGAATTGTGAAGTTCACTTTTAATATTCAAATAAATGCTAGCAATTTTAGGCTTGCATTTGAAACGATTGATAAATGAGACTAAGAATGCTGTAAGATTTGAAACCTATTAGGTTTTACAAAGCAAAAGAATATTATGGGTTGGGCATGTGAGAGTATTATGGTCAGAGGTGATCATTCTATCAAGAGCAAGAAACTTGAGAACCAAAGGGCATATTGCCAAGTTCAAATGATCCTCATGTTTTATTTGTATGACTTTTTTTAATGTCTCTTTATTTTCTCCTATCTAGTATAAGGTCAAAATAATCACTAGCATTTGAGCTATATTATTTAAATTTTGTTTTTTTGTCATGTTTGCCAAAAGCATACACTCTGCTATATTCCTCTTTGGTTAGTCTATTAACTGTGAGCATTACAGCAATTTATTTTTCATAATTTCAAACATACTTTGTCATAAATGAACATTCAAGTTGGTTAGAAGATTTAAAAAAAATTTTCAAGGCAGCAATATGATTCCATTTTTCTGTGAAGGTATTATGATGTTTTATTTTAGCTTTAATGACTTGGACTTCAAGTGGTTTAATGAATGTGTAAGCGGGACATCTTCTATAGATATTCATTCTTTGATTTATTTGGCCAGTATAGACCTTATCAGAAGGATGAATTTCATTCATAATAAACATTGTAACTTTATCCAATTTGAAAATACTGGCACAATATAAATATTAGGAAATTCATTTATACTGTAGGCTATTAATTGAAAGTATAGTTGGCATTCAAATACTTCCATAATTAATCCAAATAAGCTATAAATAAATAATAATTATGATCACTTATCTTTTAGGTCTTCCTTGTTCAGCAGTTGATTTTAATTTGCTTAATGAAAACTTTATCCACAGAGCAGAGGTAAGGAAATTCGACTTAAATTTTTCTTCTCATAACACTACTCAAATCTTATCTAATCAGTAAAACGACTTTGAGAAACAAATCACAACTTTATTGGATAAAGCAAATAGAATAAAGTCAATTATGACTTGTTAAATTAAAATCCTACACTCAAAATGTATATTGTCCAAATAGAGAGGATTTCGCATTAAAATTTTGTTTTTCTGTAAGATCCTAGAAAATTATGTTATGTTATTTACAATAAATATATTGATTGAAATATTTTTATCCTTTACAATAGAGAAAAATAATGGCCTAAGTTATTATTTATAATATATTGTCTATTATAAATAAGACATAATAAATATCAAATTTTATAATGTTTTTATCAACAGACCAACAATTGTGTGTCTTAGTGAGAGCAGAGCAAATATTCGAGGATTCAAATTCAAACTGTAATTCATTTATTTGTTGTATCTCATACCCATATCTTTATTAAGTATATCTTTATTAATCTTTATTAAGTATATCTTTATTAAGAATTTCTAGGTATTTTCAATTAAAGCAAAAGTAGCAGAGTAACTATCCTCACCTAGCTGCCAGTGTGGAGGGAGAGAATACTTAATAGTTAAACCAAAGCTTAGTACTCAGTTATGACAATTGCTATTTCTCACAACTAAAACCAAAGATTATCAGTCTGAATTAGTGATTAAGATTTAGCTATGACCTCTGTAGTTTAAAAGCATGGACACAAAATATTGAAATTATTTAATATAAATGATAAAGAATGTATACCAAGCAAATACTAATGCAAAGAAGGCTTATGCACTGATATGGTTTGGCTGTGTGCCCACTCAAATCTCACCTTGAATCATAGCTCCCATAGTTCCCACATTTGTGGGAGAGACCCAGTGGGAGATAACTGAGTCATGGGGCTCCCATACTGTTCCCCCATAGTGTTCTTGTGGTAGTGAATACTTCTCATGAGATCTGATGGCTTTATAAGGGGAACACCTTTCACTTGGATCTCATTCTCCACTTCCACCATCCGTAAAGGGAATGACATGCTCCTGCTTGTCTTCTGCCATGATTGTGTGGACTCCCCAGCCACTTGGAACTGTGAGTCTATTAAACCTCTTTCCTTTATAAATTACCCAGTTTTGGGTATGTCTTTATTAACAGCAGGAGAACAGACTAATACAGTAAATTGTTGCCAGTAGAGTGGGGTGCTTTGTAAAGATAATCAAAAATGTGGAAGCAACTTTGGAACTGGGTAATAGGCAGAGTTTGGAACAGTTTGGAGGACTCAGAAGAAGACAGGAAAATGTGGGAAAGTTTGGAACTTTCTAGAGACTTAAATGGCTTTGACCAAAAGGCTGATAATGATATAGACAATGAAGTCCAGGCTGAGATGGTCTCAGATGAAGATCAGCAACTTGTTGGGAACTGGAGTAAAGGTGACTCTTGCTAAGTTTCAGCAAAGAGACTGGTGGCATTTTGTCCCTACCTTAGAGATTTGTGGAATTTTAACTTGAGGGAGATGATTTAGGGTATCTGGTGGAAGGAATTTCTAAGCAGCAAAGCATTCAAGAGGTGACCTGGTGCTGTTAAAAGCATTCAGTTTTAAAAGGGAAATAGAGCATAAAAGTTTGGAAAATTTGCACCCTGACGATCACATAGAAAAGAAAAATCCATTTTCTGAGGAGAAATTCAAGCCAGCTGTAGAAATTTGTGGAAGTAACGAGGAGCCAAATGTTAATAGCCAAGACAATGGGGAAAATGTCTCCAGGACATGTTGAGGTCTTCACAGCAGGCCCTCCCATCACAGGCCTGAAAACCTAGGAGGAAAACATGGTTTCATGGACCAGGCACAGGGCCTCCCTGCTCTGTGCAGCCTAGGGACTCTGTGCCCTGCATCCCAGCCCCTCCAGCCATGGATAAAAGTGGCAAAGGTACAGCTTTGGTGTTGTTTCAGAAGGTGCAAACCCCAAGCCTTGGCAACTTCCATGTGGTGTTGAGCCTGAGGAGGTAGGAAAGTTAACAATTGAAGTTTGGGAACCTCCAGGTATATTTCAGAGGATGTATGGAAATGCCTAGATGCCCAGGCAATAGTTTACTACAGGGTTGGGGCCCTCATGAAGAACCTCTGCTAGGGCAGTGTGGAAGGAAAATGTGGGGGCAAAGTCCCCACACAGAGCTCCTACTGGGGCATTGCCTAGTGGAGCTGTGAGAAGAGGGCGACGTTCCTCCAGACCCCAGAATAGTAGATCCACTGACACCTTGCACCGTGCACCTGGAAAAGCCACAGACATTCAATGCCAGCCCCTGAAAGCAGTTAGGAAGAGGGGTATTTCCTGGAAAGCCAAAGGGGGCAGAGCTGCCCAAGGCCATTGGAGCTTACCTCTTGCATCAGCATGACCTGGATGTGAGAGATGGAGTCAAAGGAGATCATCATGAAGCTTTAAGACTTGACTGCCCCACTGGATTTCAGATTTGCGTGGGTCCTTTAGCCCCTTGATTTTGGCCAATTTATCTCATTTGGAATGGGTGTATTTATCCAATGCCTGTTCCTCCATCATGTCTAAGAAGTAACTAACTTGCTTTGTTTTTACAGGTTCTTAGGTGTAAGGGACGTGCCTTGTCTCAGATGAGACTTTTGGACTGTAGACTTTTGAGTTAATGATGAAATGAGTTAAGATTTTGGGAGACTGTTGGGAAGGTATGATTAGTTTTGAAATGGGAGAACATGAGATTTAAGAGGGGCCCTGGGCAGAATGGTATGGTTTATATGTGTACCCACCCAAATCTTATCTTGAATTGTAGCTCCCACAATTCCTGAGTGTAGTGGGAGGGACCAGTGATAGGTAATCGAATCATGGGGTTGGCCTTTCTCATGCTGTTCTCGTGATAGTGAGTAAGTCTCATGAGATTATGTCTCATCTCATCTCATGATGGTTTTGTAAAGGCGAGTCCCCCTGTACTTTCTGTCTTTTCTGCTGCCATGTAAGATGTGCCTTTGCTTCTCCTTCACCTCCACCGTGCTTGTAAGGCCTCCTCAGCTGTGTGCAACTGTAAGTCCATTAAACCTCTTTCCCGTATAAATTACCCAGTCTCAGGTATATCTTTATTAGCAATGTGAGAACAGGCTAAAACATGCACCTAATAGATAAAATAGATTAAAGTGGTACAGTTATTGATAGTGATAAATACTGTTGTTACATGAGAAAAAAATTTTCACCAAAAGACATAATTTCATAACGCTAAGCTTTCAAAAATACACCTTCAGATATATAAAGCCCAGATAAAAATAAATTGATCACTTTTTAAATCATCTATATATAGTTCTACTTTAGAGCTTCTCCATAGATCAAGGAGAGAAAATGCTCTATAAGGACAGAGAGGATTTGAAAACCTCTATCAACTTTACTGGCCTAATGGATATATTGAACCATGTAATAAGCAAATGGAGATACTTCTTGCATAAAACTCTAGCTAACTGAGACATTTTATTAGGTGTTTGGAACACAAGAACTATATGTTATCAATTACCTGTACTGTTTCTCATTTTCCTTTAAAAGTTGAAAGAGTTTTCTACATAGAACACATCCATTATTTTCTAGTACATGTAGCTGATGATCGATATGATTCCAAAGACCCAATATAGTATTCACAAAGTGTCTCAAATACCAGGATAAACTACATCTCACATTAATAGAAAGTTACAATAAACAAATTTAATCTTTAATTATAAAAAATAAGACAATTATTAATGACTTGTTTCTATGTGCCTGAAATAAATTCATATTGCCTAGGTACCTTGTGAATAATGTAACTTTATGCATCTTAGTAGCTATATATAATAAATTATTTATTTCTCCTGAATTAAATTCTTGGCTCTTCAAATGATTAATTAGGTGACACAAATATTCTGAATATTTTTAAAAATAATTTATTAGATTGGTAGATCTATTTAATCTCATCTATTTAATACAAATAACAAATATTTGCTATTGACTGAAGTGTATCAGATACTGGACCTTGAATCCTGGGGTACAGATAGGACTATGGCAAGAAACAACCTTTAAATATGTACTGCTTTCAACATTCAAATTAGGGAAGTGTGGGAGAGAAAATAAGTTTTTAATATGTTAAATTGTGCTGGTTATAATACAAATATGCTAAAGTGGGACAGAGATTAATGGGATTATGCATTTCATAATATGGTTATGGAAGACAATGATGAGGTGGACCTGCAGGAACTGTGATTGCATGCTTCCAGGGAAAATTAATAGCATGTTTGGTGTGTCTTAATGTCAAAGAATATATGAGGAAAACTGGAGGAAAATGAAGAATGGGGAGTAATAAGCCAATACCAGAGAAGACTGAAAGAGTAGGGAAGAGACTTTGTGTTTCACTCGTATAAATAGAAATGAAGTGGTGAATTTTGAGCAAAAATATGATATGCAGTAAACAATGTTATGAGTATCACTATACCTGCTGTGAAGATTATTGAATGTAAGGGGGGAAATATGGATGTAGAACTATTATATACATTTTTTCATTATTTATGAGGAATAATGTAGACTTAGGAAAAAATGTTAGAAGAACCTGATTTAAAGCTGTCTAATCTGGATATGTTTTGATAATAGAGCCCACAGGATTTGCTCATGAATAGATATGGTGTGCAAGAGCAAGAAGCAGAAAACTTTTGATGTGAGCACATTAAAAAAGGGGGTCATGGATTTTTAAAAATGGAAAGCTAAAGAGAAGCAGATACTAAAGGCCAATACAGTACACTTCTGTTGTTTAACAAGATGAGGTGACAGAAAAATTTTACACGTACCATCACTTGACAGAAATAAAACCAGACAAACAAAAACTACAGTTTTCAAACATTGGAAGTCATGTCATGAAACACAGTTATCCTAGGGAGACATGAAAGAAACCAGATGAGGCCTATAATTGGCAGTAGCCTTGACAGAGTTTCCAAACTGTGGCAAAAGGAGAGGTAATCCACTGAACTCTGAGATGAATAAACATAGTGAGAATTCAAGGAGAACAAGATAGATAGGAACTGAAGAAAAGAGCAGTAGAAAGAAGATAAAAGCACAAAGAGAAAAACCATGGATACCTACAAACAAGTTCAGCTTGAGTTCTGCTGAACTCAAGCATTCAGCAGAACACTGATTAGTGCATGAATGTGAAAAAAAAAAAATGTTCAAGGCTAGAGAAAAAGTAACCAAAAAGAAGTACTGCGATTCGTATCTGGAGGCGACATAAGACTTGAGATAATGCCCATTTTCACAAACCCGTTAGAAAGCCTCGAAAGTCATGGAATGTAAAATAGAGCAGAGAGAAGAAGAATTGGAGACAGTACTGCAGAATCATTATGGCTAGAATAAATTATGCTCTTGTCTCACCTAACAAATCTTAAAAGTAGGGACCCACAATATTGGAATGTTTTTACGTTTCAGAGAATTTAAGGCTGGGTGCAGTGGCTCATGTGTGTATCCCAGCACTTTGGGAAGCTAAGGTGGTGGATCACTTGAGGTCAGAAGTTCAAGAGCAGTCTGGCCAACATGGTGAAACCCTGTCTCTACTAAAAACACAAAAATTAGCCAGGAATGGTGGCACACACCTGTAGTCCCAGCTACTCAGGAGACTGAGGCAGGAGAATCGCTCGAACCCAGGAGGAGGAGGTTGCAGTGAAACCGTATTGCGCCACCACGTGCGCGCGCACACACACACACACGCGCATATATACATACATTTATAAACTTAGTTAAAACTTCAAAATGTAAAATTCACCAGCATCCAAGTGAAAACTGGCATCCAAGAAGAAATTATCTGACATACAAGAAATAATTATCAATCAGACAATGAGCAAAGCAGAAAAATATGACACATATGGCGGAGAGAAATCAATCACTAAAAACTGCACTCAAACTGATAAAGAGTCTAGATTGCAGATAGGGACTTCACATAAATTATTATATATCTTATTGATAAAAATTAGAGAAAAGATTGAACATGTTAAACAGATATGTGGATTCTACAAAATATGTGAATCAAATTTCTAGAAATAAAAGGAATTAATGGCAGAATGAACTTTTTTCAGAAAAATAGAATAATGGACTGGAAGTCAAGAAGAGAAAATACACAAAAGGATACAAAAAGTAGAAAAAATGCAACAATAAAATACAAGCAATATCAATTTAAGCTTGGAGTAATTTCTAAAGCCTAACATATTGTGTAATTGGTATGGACAAAGAGAAAAAAAAGGAGAATAGAAAATCTGTTTTAAGAAATTATAACCCAAAATGCTCTGACACCAAAAACATACACAAACATTCCAAGAAAAGAAAACTATATATCAATCAAGAACTTAGATGCAAAAATGTTTAACAAAATTTTAACAAAACAAATCTAACATTATTTAAAATGCATATGCACCGTGATCAAGTAAAGTTTGGACTAAGATTGTAAAGTTGGCCTCCTATTTGAAAATCAATCAATGCAAGTCATCATAGTTATAAACCAAAATGAAAAAAATAATAATTATTGTAGAACATTTAAAATGATGTATTTGTCAAATCTTGGATCAATTCCTGATAGAAAACATTCTTCAAACTAGGAATACCCTCAACCTGATAAAAGTCACCTAAATAAACTATTGAAGCAGCGTCACTGTCTGGGGTAAATACAGGAGGTTCGTGGTCTCACACTAAGGAAATCCAGTATGCTGACACACAAGAAGTGGGTTTAGGAGTAGAGGTTTAATAGGCAGAGGAAAGAGAAAGGAGAATAACTCTCTCTCCTGAGAGAGGGTGCCCAAGTGGGACTTCCAGCCCATGTAAGAGTGTGTAGGGTTTTATAGACAGGCTTGAGGAGGTGGTGCCTGATTTACTTAGGGCCCCAAAACTGGTTGGACTAGGTGTGAAGTTAACATAGCAGACAAAGAAGCTGGCTGCCCGTCCCTAATCTTTTTAATATGCAAATGAGTTTTTACTTGGCCTGCACCGTGTTGTCCTCTTCCTACTGCACACATGATTGGCAAGAAGGGAAGATGGAGCTGTGATGTTGCACATGCCTAGTCCCCAGGTAGCCTTTTCCTATTGACACGGCTGCTGGCCTTCACGCATGCAGGCTTCCATCTTGCTTGTCTCTGTCTGCAGCTCTATTATACAGGCTACTCTTTGTTAGACAAGAAAATGATTTGAGGGCTGCTTTTCATTAAATGGAAAACCTTATCGAGGACTCCCATACCCTCAGTAACTGCCTAAGTAATTTCTTTTTAACTCCTATATCACTATGTCTAACATAATACTTAGCATTTCAATTTCTAATGCTTTTCTCCTAAAGTCAAGATTAAGGCAAGTATTTCCAATCACATCACACCGCATCAACATTGTATTTTAGGTTGCAACCATTGCAGAAGCCAAAAAAAGAAAATGTAATAAAAGGAGTGTTTATTGAAAGGTTCAGGTAAACTCTTTTATTCACAGACAATATTGTTACTTATAAAACCTGATGAAACCCACAAAAAGCTACCAAATCTAACAGGTGATCTTGGCAAGATAATAGAATGATAATAATATTATCATTAATAATAATAATTAGTTGCATTTCTTTATATCAATATAAGTAATCAGAAATTAAAATAAAAACAGGCTGGGCACTGTGGCTCATGCCTGTAATCCCAACGCTTTGGGAGGCCGAGGTGGGCAGATCACCTGAGGTCTGGAGTTCGAGACAATCCTGGCCAACACGGCAAAACCCCATCGCTACTAAAAATACAAAAATTAGCCAGGCCTGGTTGTGTGTTCCTGTAGTCCCAGCTACTCAGGAGGCTGAGGCAGGAGAATCATTTGAACCCAAGAGGTGGAGGTTGAAGTGAGCCAAGATCATGCCACTGAATTCCAGCCTGGGCGACAGAGCCAGACTCCCTCTAAAAAAAAAAAAAAAAAGAAAGAAATTAAATAGAAACATTACCATTTATAAGAGGACACACAATATTATATATTAAACAAAAATGCAATAGCTGTACACTGAGTACTTGAAAATGTTAGAAAATATTTCTAATATAAATAAATTGGCTAATACCTAAACAAATTGAATTGAAAATTTTAACATATTAATGTTTCCTCTGAAGACTCAGTATTGTTAAAGTATCAATATTCTCCAAAATGTGGTCACGGTAGAAAGTGTTAAAGAGCTTACTGTTATCAGTTTCTCCTTTGGTAGAGAGGTAGAGATAATAAGCTAAAGAGAATAAGGCATACTCCTAAGTTGTTAGCAGTTTTATTTCCTCAATGAGAATGATATTTGGAAGAGGAAGGGCAATAAGAATCATATTTCCTCTGAAACTTGGGTATGTGTTTCTTTTCCAGGGAGCTGCATTTCTGGGTATTAATAGAGGAGTATCTTACATCTCTCTATTAAAAAATCATTATTTAAAAAAAATGTTTAATTCAATTTTAATTGCTTTTGATTTGGGCAAAAAATGTTTTTGAAATAAAGTTATCTAATATGCATATGAATTTCCCTTTTTTAAAAAGCACCAATAGGTGCAGGGGTATTTTATTACACAAGTAATTATCCATACAGATAACCAGAGACGATGTCCCTTTTCTAATGTTATTTACATTTATAGCAAGATCACAGAATATTTGACCTGAAAACAAACTTAGATAGCATCTAGTTTAAACACTTCCTTGAGGAAGAGAGACACCAAAGAAGAAGTTAGGCAATTAGTGGTAATGTTGAAACTTCAGTATTCACTTTATTTTCTTCTAAAATTCTAAACAAAATGATTTGCTTGTATATTTATTTCTATTTGTCTTAAAGTACTCTAGCTTTTGTTAAAAATACTTGTTGCATGATTTCTGCTCTAAATTCCCCAGAACAATGACAGGTTATTTAGTTTAAGAAATTTAAAAATTTGTCATTGCATTTTACATTTTTATTGTTCACTTCTATTCATTTTTTAGTCTCACTGAAACTGCCTTAAATAAACTAGCAAAACTAGAGGCAAGAAGCAAGTACTATCACATGAATATATGATTTGAAGAGCAATCTTGTTTGTAAATTAGATACTTGACAAGTTTAGTAAAAACTGAAATAGTTTTAGACATTTTTTTAGATCCTTGGATCAAAGCTTCTACAGATGAAACATTTGCAAAATTATTTTCTCCATAAATGCTGACCATACAAATCTGATTTCTTTATTCACACTTTATGCTTCATTTTATGGAAGACTCAGTAACCCATAACAAATTTCAATCCTGAACAATAAGAAAAACTTTTTAAGTTTTCTTATTATGCTTTCTTTTTAATGTATAGTTTGAGCTTCTTTTTTGGTTTATTCGTTGGCTTGGGAATTTTTATTTTAAAAATATATCTTACAGCAGAATTCTTAGACAGTTTGCTTCATATTTTAAGCAATATTTCAACTTTAAAAATATAGTTTAAACTATTAAATGTTTAAAAAATACTCACTGAGGTTCATTTACTTATTTATACCAAAATATTTGAATTTAATTAAAAATTATAAATTTCATGGTATAGTTCTATTAAGTAAAGATTTTTTTACAGTAATGAGTAAGCTCTTAGAGAGTATGGGTTAAGAATATGGATTCTGGAATTACATTTTGCCCTTTTAGCCTCATGGAGGGTTTGCAAATGATGAAATGGTTGATTGACCCTATAAAGCTGTTTTTTTAGTTTGATGCTATATTCAAGTCAGTATGCTAAGTCTCATGCCCACAACACAGGACATGTTTATTGAATGACAGTATAAATAATTTAATGTTATCTTTTTTCAGAGGTCAGTTAAATGATTCTTTGTAGTTTTTTAAAAAATTAGCAGTTGTTATGGAAATTTTTAGATACAATAGTAAAAAAAAATGTTATAAACTACCAGCTTCAAATTTACTCATTACTCAGGTTCAACAATTATCAATATTCTGCCATCTGCCATACCTACATCAGCTCCTCACTCCTCTCTAGATAATAGTGATTATTATTATTTTATAGGTTTTTAAAATTCAAAATTGCATACATTGAAATATCGAATTTTTAGCTGTATATTTTTAAAAAATGAGTATAGCTATATGAATCTCACTCCAATCATAAAAATCTATTTCCAATTATTCAAACATTTTTTCTTGTACTTTGCTAATTTCTCTTGCCCACATCCCACTCTCCACAGACAACTGATTTTTTATTTACCATATACTTTTTCCAGTTATAAAATTTCATGTAGATTGAGTCATACCGTAATGTTCGTGTGTGTGTGTGTGTGTGTGTGTGTGTGTGTGTATCTTCTACTTCATATAATGTATGAATTCCTCAATCAGGTTACATGTGTCAGCAGCCCTCTTTTTATTGCTAAATAATATTTCACTGTAAGACTACACGATGATTTGTTTATTCAACATTCACTTGATGGACTTACTTGTTTTTAGTCTTGGCTGTTATGGCCTAGAAAACTGAAATGACAAAAATTTTTCTTTATATATTTTAAATATGCTTTTTGGTTGTCTTCTCACTTCTTATGCAAATTAGCCATCGTGGCTATTTGTTTTTTCTCTGTATGTAATGTGTGGTTCCACATATACTTTTATGTTTTCAAGATTGTATGTGTGTATGTGTGTGTGTGTGTGTCTGTGTGTGTTTAATATTTAGATTTTAGCAATATGACTTTGTGCATAGGGGTGATATTCTTTGTGTTTGTCCTGCTTGGGTTGTATTAAGGTTTTGAGATATATAAATTATGTTTCACTATATTTAAGTAAATTTTGGCCATTGTATCTTCAAATATATTTCTGCTCCATCCTATGACTCAAATATATTTCTGCCCCATCCTATGACTCCTCTTTGGGAAATCAAATTCCATCTAAGCTCTGAGGCTCCAGCTTTTTATATTTAATATTTGTTTCTTCTTCAGATGGGTAATTTTAATTGTTCTATCTTCAAAATCACTGACTCCGGGCTGGCCCACCTGCAGTCTGCTCTAATCCATCAACAGGATATTTATTTTAGTGCTAGTATATGTCGTGGTCACTGTCTGAGGCTGGTGCGTGGGTGGTAAAGGAATTTACCAAGACAGTAATAAGTTTAGAAAGGCAGATTTATTTAGAGGAAAGGGGGAGATATGTTGCAAGGGAACAAAGGGCAAGACAGCAGGAACAATACGATCTGGAAACAGGCAGGGCCTCGAGTTTTGTAAGGTCATGCTGTTTAGGCTCAGTGCTTGCAGACAGGATCCCTGGGTTCAGGTAGGCAGTGATCTGGGTGCTTGTAAGGATGCTTGGGTGCTAGTGAGCTGTTGAACCCATTTCTTGAAACATTTTATCTGCCCTCTACCTCTGTTTCTATTTCTTCCAGCTAAGCCCATTTTTCAATTATCATTTAACTCCTTAGGTGTTAAATTCAGGTGTATTTTGTTGTTGTTTTTTCTGTAATTTATAGTTTCTATTTCTCTACTGAAAGTTTACATCTGGTCATTCATTGCTTTTCCCCCCACCCCAAACCTGGAACATAGGTATAATATCTCTTTATAAGTTTTCATCTTATAATTGCAACATTGAGGTTTCCTTAGGGTCATTTTTTATTGACTGACTTTTTCTTGAACATGGGTTGCACTTTCTGTCTTGTCTTATATCTGTTTTTTGTTGAAATAAGGCCCATATGATTAATATCCTGTAGATACACTGGATTATGTTATGTTCTATTAATAGGAAATCGTATAGTAGCAGGGAGTTTTCTTGACTGGATGTATGGTACAGATTCTAGTCTCCTAGTAGTAGAGAAAAATCTAACATCTAGTATCCGTTTTTTTTTTTTTTTTTTTTTCCAGCTTTCAGTTACTTTCACTAGGGCTATGGTGATTTCCAGACAGGCATTGTTTAGTGTTCAGGCAAGTTATTTGTTGAATGTTATATGCAAATTTTGGTCATGCCATTTATGCAGCTTGCCTTCTTTCATGATACCCCACTAAATTCCTGATTGCTTTTTTAGCCCCAAACCTGTCTATATTAAAACTTTAAAACAACTATAACTAAAATATCATGGCAAGATCTTGATGTTTTTGAGAGACTTACATTTATGACCCTTTATTATTTTTATTTCTGCTACACCCATTTTAATTCTCATTTACTGACGTGATTTCCTTGTACTAATGAAATGGAAAGTGTTCCCTTGTCCCCCTTGCAGGGCATGCGATGCACGTATGGTCCGCTTTTTTGGTGCCCCGCTGCTCCAACCTCTAGCGGGAGAATGCAGACGGGACAGATTGTGGGGCTCTGATCCCACAGCAGTGTCTAGGGGTGAATGTTTACAGCTGAAGCCCCAGTGGGCGTGTGTTACAGGTGCTCTTTCAGTTTAGCTGTCCATAGGCAGCTTGTGTTAGTCAGCTCAATTAGACCCCCCAGCTTATCACAAGTACAGAAGGCTTTCTGTATCCCGGGCTTTCTTGCCTTGGGGTACTGAAAGAATCGGGTCACACATGGGCTTGGAGAATGAGTGCAAGGTTTTATTGAGTGGAAGTAGCTCTCAGCAGGTGGGGGAGCCAGAAGGGAAATGGAGTGGAAAGGTGGTTATCCCCTGGAGTCAGGCCACTTAGTGGCCAGGCTCTCCCCTGGCCAAACTACTCATCATTCCACTAGTCGATGGCCTGTCCGTGACTGTTGGTGTGCTCCTATGTAGGTGCGTTCCTCTCAATGTCCAGCTGCTTGTGTCTTCGACTGGTGTGTTCCTTTGGATGTCCAGCTGCTTGTGTGTGTGCCCACTAAAGTCTCGGGGTTTTTATAGGCACAGGATGGGGGTGTGATGGGCCAGGATGGTCTTGCGGAATGGAACATGTGGGCAGGAAAACAGAAATGCCTGTCTTCACCTAGGTCCCTGGGCACAGGCCTGGGGGTGGAGACCTAGCCAGGGACCATGCCTTTCCCTTCCCAGCCCTTCCCTGATCCCCTCCCATATCACTAATTGTGTATTTTGTATCCATAAACTTGGAATAATCATTTTTTACTTCTTCTCCCGTCCAACCTCTCCTTTTCTGTTGTTTCTGTTTTTGATGTTTGTGTTTTGTTTAGTTCAGTTCTCCTACTATCTTAACCAAAGCTTGTTCTTCCAAACATTGCCATCACAGGGATTTAAAAGAGAAATGTTTACAATTTTAGCCTTGGTCATCAGACCAATTCTGAGCATAAACATTTTTTTTTAATCAGTTGATCACACTTTTTAAATCTCAAATACGAAAAGACATAAACTTAGCTGAAATCACTATACTGTACATTATTTTTACTGTAACTAATTCCAAAGTGGTTTAGAAAGTTGTATTTTGCTTCCATTGACAAACCTTAAATCTAAAACTTCAAGTACATTCCTATTCTAATTTGGAAGTTGCCTGAAATTGGTGGGTTAAGACCTGAAATTAAAGAAATTTTTCTCTACCTTTGATATATCCTCAAAAATTCAGACATCATATGCCCCTTATAATATTCCTCCTACATAAAAGATTTAAATTACTGAAAGTTTCCTACGTAGTCTTTTACACTCTTAAACCAATTATTTACCAAATATTTGTCTAATGTCTCTTGAAATCATTTACTTCTTATCTGATATGCTTTTTTTGAAAAAAATAGCTTATTGTGATCTCTTGCCTAAATAATTGAAATCGCCTATTAATAACTCTCCCAGACTATAGCCACACTTTTCTCCATACAATTTTAATTGATTATTCTAAAATACATAATTTAATATTTCAGTTCTCACTTCACTTTTTTTAAAAAAATCTGTCAGTGCCTTCTCATCTTTAACATAAATGCACTTTTTACAAAGAACATGCCATTGAAGGCAACACTCCTGGTTATCATAAATTATATGATCCAGTCATAATTAATTACTTGTAGCTTTTTTTTTTTTTTTTTTTTTTTTTTTTTTGAGATGGAGTTTTGCTCTTGTTGCCCAGGCAGGAGAGCAATGATATGATCTCGGCTCACTGCAACCTCTGTCTGCCCAATTCAAGCGATTCTCCTGCCTCAACCTTCTGAGTAGCTGGGATTACAGGCAAGCACCACCACGCCTGGCTAATTTTGTATTTTTAGTAGAGACGGGGTTTCTCCATGTTGGTCAGGCTGGTCTCGAACTCCCGACCTCAGGTGATCCACCCGTCTCAGCTTCCCAAACTGCTGGGATTACAGGCATGAGGCTTTTTTTTTTTTATGTTCTCCTTGTCTGCAACACTCTCCCTTCCAATTGCCTAGCTATCACTATTTCATTTTGCTGTAATCAGTATAAACTGTTACAGGTGTTGAATCAGTATGGGTCTGTAGCAACCTCAATTCTTGCTTCCTCAGAAGAAAGACTTTGACTGAGGAGCATAAGGCAGAAGAAGAGACCAAGGCAAGTTTCAGAGCAGGAGTGGAAGTTTATTTAAAAAGCTTTAGAACAGAAATGAAAGGAAGGAAAGAAAGTACATTTGGAAGAGGTCCAAGCAGGCAACTTGAAGGACAAGGGCAGGTTTTGACCTTTTGACTTAAGGTTTTATATGTTGGCATACTTCTGGGGTCTTGCACTCATTCTCCCCCAAGAGGGTGGGTTGTCTGCATGAGCAGTTACTTGCTAGCATTCTGGAGGGGAGCATGCACATCGTGTTTACTGGAGTTGAACGCGTGCTCACCTGAGGCGTTCTTCCCTTTCCCTTTTCCAGGGGAATGTCCCAGGAAGGTCATATACCAGTTAAACTCTACCATTTTGCCTCTTAATGCACATGTGGGAGCTCACTCACCAAGTTTCTGAGATCTTATTGAGAAGCTGCCAATAACCATTGTCAGGTGTTTTTATCTGTCAGGAAACTGCCTTTCCCTGGTGCTGGTTGTGACCAATTATTATTTTAGAGAAACAACAACCTGACCCTCACCTTATGGTCACCTGACTTTCCTGGTGGTGTAGGAGGAGCCCTTTCCAGCCCTGCTGTATTAGTCCATTTTTCACACTGCTGATAAAGACATACCAGAGACTGGGCAATTTATAAAAGAAAGAGGTTTAATGGACTTACAGTTCCACATGGCTGGGGAGGCCTCACAATCATGATAGAAAGTAAGGAGGAGCAAGTCACATCTTACATGGATGGCAGCAGACAAACAGAGAGAATTTGTGCAGGGAAATTACTGTCTATAAAACCATCAGATATTGTGAGACTTATTCACTATCATGGAAACAGCATTGGAAAGACTTCCGCCATCATTCAATTACCTCCCCCGGGGTCCCTCCCACAACACGTGGCAATTCAAGATGTGATATGGGTAGGGACACAGCCAAACCATATCACCTGCTCACACCTGACTAGCTACCTACTGTAATATAAACCACATTTTCAGATGACTTCTGAAACTGATGAAACACTTCTCTTCTATAATTATGAATCTTTTTGGCTTTTATTAATATCAAAATTGATTATAATTGATTAAATTTCCTGTTGATTTCTCTTCCTCCCATATGAGTTTGAAAGCATCCTGAAAGGAGAGACTGTGTCTTATTCATTAACAGGCATGTGGAAAATAGAAAGTATCAAATAATTTGCATAATAATGACGCATGAATGAGTACCTGTCATAGTAATAAACTATCAAAACAATCCAAATTATTGTGAATCTGTAAAATTAAGTGGTATGTTTTTCAGGTAGGGTTACAATGTAAATTTTGATATAAAACAAATCTGGTTGAAGAATAATAATAGTTATTACCATTTCGACATAACTAAATATACAACCATCATTTTCATATAGTAAGTAAGTGGAGTTGTAGGTTACTATCTTTACTTATTAAATGAGAAAATAGAACTTCAGAAATGAATGACAAGTAACTCACTGAAGATTATTGTTGCATTTGGGATTCAAATTCAGCACTTAGGGAGGCAGAGGAGGGAGGATAGCTTGAGCCCAGGAGTTCGAGACCAGCCAAGGCAACAAAGCAAGATGTTGTTCTCCACAAAAAGCAAAAAAGAAAAGATTCAAATCCAGCTCTCTCAATTCATAGTGTGTGGATTTCACCAATTGTTTTTGTAGCTCTTATATGAAATGCATGACCCTTTGGTGAGACAAATCCAAATAATAATGAGCAAAACATATTTCTGCCATTTTTAAAGGTATCGTAAATGTTATCTTCTCTGCTTTCAGAAATGTTATGCCTCTGCCAGATCTTTATTTGTTAAAAATAATTATAACAAATTATTTTTACAGTACAGTGTTATGTTACTATATTATATATGTTCGAATATGTATTTGTTTTATGTGTGTCAGTATATATGCATGTATATTATATATACATGCATATGCATAAGGATATATGTATAGGTATGTGCATGTTTACATGTGTGTTTGTAGGTATATATTTATAAGCAGATATTTCACCATCTGTTGAGAAGGTGAAAAATATATAAAAACTTATAAAATAATATATAATTGATCTTAACTTTTACCAGCTATTTATCAACATTTTTTCTGGACTTTTTGCTGAATACATGAAGTAGAATAATATTGACTTTGGGATATTTATAACATATTCTTAATCATTTTTTATTTGCTATATATTTTTAATTTGTATGATCTTAGCAAATCATTAACTGGAAAAGTTACTTTGTAGAGGTCTGCTCTCTTTCTCTGATAATGTTTATTACTACATTAGTATTGTTAATAATATATAACATTTATCAAGTTAGTATATGATATGAAATATTTTTATAACACTTGAACTATAAATATACTAGATACTAAATATTAAAATACACTGTTCATCACAAAAATATTTAGTCATCACAGAAATACTATGAAGTTAGTTGTTATTTTGATCCATATTTTATTGATCAGGAGCCTCAGTCATAAAGAATTTAAATAAAGTTAAGTTCACATAGCTGGTCAGTTCTGTAGCTGAGTTTCCGCCAGGCACTTTGACTTTACAGCCTGATACTACAATAGGATGTTCCTGCCCAGTAGGGCAATGATTCGCTTAGTCACTTTTAGGATGTGTAGCATGATGATTATTTAATCGAATTCAGTTTCTCACAATACTAATTATTCAGGGAACTGAAGTGTTTTCATCTAGCTTGGAATACACCTCGGGGTAAATCTGTCTCATTCAGGTTACAGAAAGGAAAGTCATTATAGAAAATATCTTGCTTCAGATCAAAGTTTTTGAGCCTGAAGGCAGTGTATTACTTTTTCCATACTGTTACCTATTGCATTAGAAAATCATCTGCCTTGTACTTCTTCTAATTGCATACATTTGTCAGCTCAAAGTTGTGCTTGCATTTGCCTTCTTTTAGTATTTCAAAATATAGTAATAACAGATGTGTGGGTATATCTATATCTATATACATATTTATGTATCAATACATTTATATGAGAACTCATATGTGTTTGTAAACATATACATGACACATATAAGCCCAATAGATTAGTTTCCAAAAAACCTTTGCAGATATCTAGTTCAAGTTCTGGATAAAATATTGTAGTTGATTCCATTTTTAACAACATTAAATTATCTTAGATTTCATTAACATTTTAAAATCAATTTGCAAATAACTTGAATATTAAAAAGTACATCAGTATATATTTATATATCTGTTTATATATATACACACAAACACACATGTGCATACACAGTCACAATGTCTAAAGTATCTGCAATTAGATATATATATATAATGAAATAAAGTTTAAAACGATTATTTTCAGTGTTTTCTGATTAAGAAAAACTTATTGATGGATTTCAAAAAGTATGTTAATCAATATTTTTCTTAAATCTGTTTGCCAACATTTCACTTTTAGGAGAGATGCAATTGGGGTTAGTAAACAATAATGTATTCACCAAAAGAAACAAAGCACTTTCTATGCACCAACAGAGTACTGTACATTCCATATTGTACATATTTATTCTTATAACCTTGGTAACATATGTATATCTCTCTCTATATAATTACTTATATAATTATATATCTCATCTATAAATATCTATTATGTATAATATATAACATACATAATGCATATATTTATTGTAACCATTATATTGTGACATTTGACTTGTTTTCAACGTTAACTACTAGTATTCATGTCTTTAAGAACATTGTTGTAAATGTCTTTTTTCCACTTAGGTATAACTTCACATGTACATTTAAGAACGGAATTGCTGGGTCACAGGGCATGTCTATTTTCAAATACAAAATATTTCTAAACTGGTTGGATTTGCGAAACATAAATACTTTAAATGGCATTAAATATGTAACTATTATATTTATATTAATTTAGTAATACATATATTATGTAATTAACGCAGTAATAATTTGTGGACTACTTACTACCTGCTGAATGCAAATATTCTAAAACTGAATAAAACATGGTCCCTTTAGGGATGTCGGTAACAAATTTGTTGCAGTTAATCAAATTACAATAATGTATTCAAATTGACTGTGTCTTTGGCATGTGATATATATTACTAAAATACTCTTTATTGAAAAGTTTCAGTCAAACAGCAGATGGTTGTGTCTACTAAAATTAGTAATATCAGAATGAATAAAAACTATTTTTTCATTTGATCCAGATACCTGCCTTGTACAAACAACACTGAATCATAATTTTCCATTTAGATTTAAATTCTGACATCTTATTCAATTCCAGGTTTTATGAAAATCAGCAACAACAATAAAAAAAGCTAGCTATGATTTCACAGATATGTATAGCTGAATAGACAGATAAACCACACATAGAGCAAATAAAAAGCACCAATATTCCATTTGAAATTCAAACACATATATTCTTTACCACCAACGGTGCATATATTTACGCACTGTTATACTGTTAAATCTTGGACGCTATTTATCTAAGCCTTGAAAATAATTTAGAAGATTATTTAGATCCACAAAATATCATTACCTTATTTTTAAATAATCTTTAATGGACACATGACCAGTCTCAAGCACTGCCAAAAACATGCATGTATTTAGACAAAATATATTACATGAAGAAATGTAGCCTCATATGTTCTCACACCTATATGAGACAGCTTAATTTTACTCAAATATTGCATCTAATTGGTCCAAGAATTTTATGTATTTTTGCTGATTATCATAAAGGAAATTCATCAAAATCATTTACTCTTTATGGCATTAGCTCAGGCCTCTCTTCTAGTTTGTTTGTACTATTACAATGAATTCCTGATTCATCTGCTGTCAGTCTTTTTCAACTTCATTTTTTCATATCTTCTCCTCCATTTATTCTGAAATGTGGGTATCGTCAAGTTATTAGCTGGTAAAACACTTGAAGAGCTCTCAATCCATATAAATGTAATTCACACACCCACAGTATTGCACAGTTTCAAACACTAAGCATGGATAAAAATATTTGCTAGGGTAGTGAATGCAAAATAGAAGAGGCAATCATTAAAAACTGTTATAAATTAAATATTTCATTAATAGATTCCAGTTTCTTTCATACAACATGGAGAATTTAAATTCTCATTAAATTTATGTTTCCATCTTATAGAAAATTATTTCAGTTACTGCCCAATTCCCAGGCAAGTTTTTTTTTTCCCACTTTATGCCAAAAATTTTATACTACCTCAACACCAAACTTTGTAATTTTTGGACAACTCTGAGTTAGACTCCAATTAGGATTAGTGTGTATATTTCTAAAGAGATGTTTATAATAACTGCAATTAGGTTTAAAGTTATGATTTATCCTAAAGCCACATATTTTTTATTTTGCATATACTTATAATGCTATATGATAATTACTATAGCGATTAGCATGTATCATTATAAGTCATGCTGATTGCACTGACTAGGATACAATAGTAGGTCAAGCATATTTAGCATAACTTACTCATCAAGGACTCATTTGATAGATATTGAGTACTTATCCTGTGTCAGGCATCATTCATGTCAAAATTTGTATTAGGCGGCCCAGTTATTTGTGTTACTATAAACATCATTGCATCTCCAATCAGAATCAAAAGAAACATGTAAATACAAATGTTCTTTTGTCATGTGCTGTATTAATATGGAACATTTTTAAAGTAATTTTTATGTCTTTACATTTCTATCACTACCTTTTATGCTTTAAGTGTTGTAAAGAGATCAAACCAACAAAAGATATTTATTATAAGCCAATATTTTTTTTCAGAAACTACTAATTTTTGCTGGTTTGTTTCCTTCTTATTCCCACTTGATGCTTAGAATGTGGCAGTATGATTTGATATCTGACCATAAGTTTAAAAAAGTAAAGAACAATCTAATCATAGCACAAATTCATGGGGATAATTCATTTAGTAGAAATTTAGACAATTGTAATAAAATTGCAAGTTTCAGCATTAAAAATGATTTTTAGTTTTTGTGGATTCGTAAATAGAAGTTGAAAATTTCTGTGTCAGATTCTTAGAGCTGTACATTGTATAACACTCTCTTGATTCACCTGTACAACATTTTATCCCAGTTTTTTGGATTACATTGAGTTAGAAAAATATCCCTTTGGGAAACTTGATTTTACATTGGAATTGAACATATTGTATTTATAGTTTTTCTATGTATTTTAATATTAACAGTTGAAGGAATGCTAAATGTTATTAAGTCTAAAATGCAAAAGAACGTACTACATTTTTTACTGAATTATGTTTAATTTTCAACATGCTTATAGTATTGTTGAATGTACATAGCTTTGAAAAAAACTGTACAATCTTTCTTCAGTTGCTTTAATACAAAGTTTATTTTAAATATTACCAAGTAAAAGGATTAATTTTAGCTGAAATTGAAGTCACTTAAGAAACTTAGAAGGGAATTAATATGATACATATGCTTATCTCTTGCCATTCTCAGTAAAATTATTGTTATTATTATTATTATTATTATTATTGGATCAATTTTTATTTGGGCTTCTCACAGTGGTTAGAGCCACTCTGTTTTCAGAACAATCACAGCACAGGAAATGTGTCACTGAGACTGCCCAGAGCAGTCTGACCAGCTGTATCTTATCACTTAAAATGCATATATTCACAATCACTGACAAAGGGTAAAGTGCCTCACACAGGAATGTGTTTATATTTGCAAATCTTCCGACCGACTGTAGCATCAAACCCTCCACCAACCTCATTCACCTGGAAAACTAGTCTCAGTCACATCTCCCTGGCCCCCTAAGGACTCCTTCAGCTCCCTATTAAATCTCTTCCTGAGTAGGGCAGCCTCCTGCAGTGGGGGCCAGACTGAGACTCTGGAATCAATCCCAGCTCTGCAGGTTGCATTTCAGTCTTCCGGTGCCTTTAGGGTAAGATGCTTCAATGAATCCCACAGTTAACAGTCACCCAGTTCCCCACTCTAACTGGGGAAAGGAACTCGAGAGGGTCAGAATTCATCCATTTGATCAATTCACTGAAAAGGGATTAATTTTGGTAAAACTTGTTTGCCTTTGAGACACTTCAGTCAGATATCTAAAACATAAGACACATACTAACCTATAATTGTTATATTTTTCTATTGGTATTAAATAGAAATAAAGATATACATAAGTACTTGTAAACAGATCATAAACAATTATATTTGTGCTATAGCCCCATTGACTTTTTTATTATTTCTAGAAATAATGCTGATCCTTTGTAACATTGTGATTTGCATACAAATTGTGGTTGGTTGATATTTATCTATTAAGTTTGAAATAAATAAGATCACATATATGTTATAAGTGCATGTGATTTATTATTAAACATGTCTAATCATGGCAGCAAAGACTTAACATGTTTCTATAGGTTGCTATGTTCCCTGCAAAACTCACACTAAAATTTGATTCCCAATGTGGTAATGTTGGGAGGTGTGGGGCCCAGTGGAAGGTGTTTGAGTCATGAGGGTTGATCTCTCATGAAGAGATTAACGCCCTCCCACAGGGGTGAGGAAATTCTTGCTCTCTCAAGGTTGAGATGATAAAAAGAGTCTGGCTTCTGTAGTTTTTCTCTTTTGCTTCCGCTCTGACCTTGTGATCCTTTTCCGCTTTGTGCCTTGAGGTGTACCAGCCTGAGGCCCTCACCAGATATGGACATCCAATCTTGAGCTTTCCAGCCACAAGAAGAGTCAGCCGAATAGTCTTTTCTTTATAAACTCCATCTTTATATCTCAGTTTTTCTGTTACAGCAGCACTAAATGGACTAACATATGTGTCAAGGACTTTTATTAGGTTGGCGCAAAAGTAATCGCAGCCTTCGCAATGAAAAGTAATCGCAAAACCCACATTATTTTGCATTAACTTATACTATACAAATAATTAGAACATTTTATCTGAGAAAGTTTTTTTTGTTTGTTTGTTTTTGTTTAAGAAAGAGTCAAAGTCTAGTGCCTGTTTGTGGGAGATGGAGTAAAATATACCATTTTTCTTCTAATAGCCTCTTTAATTATTTACCACCATTACCAACATTATATGACTCTTTCATTTTGGTCCCTAATTTCATAAATAAAACATTATAATTTTACTAAAATAAAATAACTTCTTCATAGGGTTGAAAAAAGAATGAAAATCAATAACTGTTGATGTGTATGAAGTATTCAATACATTTACCTTTATTAATATTATTATCATTACTGATTATTTCTATGTGTGTTACTCTACACCAGATAAAAATTTTAAATCTAAGTGAGGTATAATATAGGTTCTTTCATTAAATTATTATAAAACGTATTTTGGAACCAAAATATTTATAAATAGATTAGAATACAGACACATACATATATATGTACATGTATACATATATATGTACCCATATTCATGTATAAATAAAAACATTTAGATAATAGCTGAATTATAAAAACTTTTATAAACTATGTGTTTTCATAAATTTTTCTAAAATTATAATTTCTAAAATCATACTTCTTGTCCAGTACATATTATCAATGGAAGAAATGTACAAAACATATTGTAATTCCCATTGCTAAATGATTAGATCTCAAAACAGAAAGAAAAAAAAAGGGCTAAGAATGAACAAGTTTGAAAGGGGAGTTTGGCTTTCTTTGTTTTCTCTTTTCTTCTTTTTTAAATATCCACATTAGACATGTGACTGTCTTCCTCTTACATTGGAAAAGTAAATAACTCCACCTGGGCTATTCTGCATACCCGGACAGTCAACACAGACAAATTTGAACCTCCACCGTGCATATATTTTCTGTCAGGGATTGCATTGTTATCCTCTTGTTGTTAATTTCTCGTCAGTCTTAAATCAAAAACTGAAGGGTGAGACCTTTTCATTACCTTATAACTTCCTCTATAGACAAAATGGTGAAGTTTACACAAAAATAATGGTTACTTTATTATTAATAATTATTATTTTTATATTGTTTATCTTCTTAGAGAAAAGTAATGCTTACAATTTCTCAAAGACAGAATCATTGTTGGCTACAGTTTTTAAAAGAGAGAAGTTGGAGCAATGGTAGGACTGAAAAAAGAATAAGCTATATCACCCCCACCTGGCAAACAAAGTTGCGACTAAATTCTAGGTTCTAATTTTCAATGGTTTTGTAGAGCCTGCAGTCTCCTTCTAGGGTTTGAAACTGTAGCAACACCAGACCTATTTGGTTTAGCTTTTATGTGACAAAGTGGTAAGTTGTTTTTCACTTGCTGTGGCCCCTCAGATTGGTGGAACCAAGCCTGTAACCTCAGGGGGAATCTAAGTGCTAGGACTGAGGAGTGGGGACAGAATTAAGAAGTGGATTCCACATGACAGGATCCAAGATCTAACCAGATCAAGCTCTGGCTTCACCCCATGGCAGGATCCAGTCAGGTACTTTCTCTTGACATCACCTCATTGCAAGATACAATCAGATCATGCCTCATTTTCTGATGTTTCTGCTTACTTGCAAGTAATAAAATCTCCTTACTAAATCCTCCTTGGTTGTGATCATTGGGCTGATACCCACCAAGTGACGGAATTATTAGTGAGCATATAGTCTCACTCTGGAGTTTGATTAAAATTTTTGTAATAGAAATATACCCACAGATAATTCCTAAAGCTTGATTTCATTGATATTTAAAAACAAATATATTTATAAACATTGTGTATTTAATTGTGAGTCAAGAACTCATTTTTAAGACTTTCTTTTCTTATTATATTAGCATTCTAACCAGAAGTGTGTTTTTATTTTCAATTTTTTTTCAAAATACTATCTCAAATGTAATAATATTACCCTATGGAAATCCTTTTTAACTGCAAATATTCAGCATTGAGTCAGAATTTATCGAAAACTGCTATTTCAGTTAGCATCCCATCATAAAACCAATAGTCTGTTCCAAGTAAAGTAATTAGTAGAAAAATTTAAGGGGTCATTTATGAAAGAGTGGATGAGGTATAGAAGAACACAAAGGAGAGAGCAGTTACTGTCATGGAGCTGTGACTGCTTCCTGGAGAAAGAGGGTTCATGCTGGTTACTAGAATCTAGAATCCAGAAATACAGTACTGTGTCCTTGAGGAATACAGTGTTCTGGGAAGAAGTAGTAAATTACACACAAGTGCATAGCAGAAGTGGCTATTGAACAGGAGAGACTCATGAGAATAAATAATTGAATCTACACTTATTCCCTTTCTTTAGTGTTCTTCTAGGGCTCCTCATTGACCAAAGCAAACTGAAAGCCAGAGATCAAGGATGCTACTAGGTGGAGCTCATATAGGTCAGCCGCTCAAAACACAGGGAAGGGTGAAGAAGAATGGATAATAGATCCTGGATGTGAAAGGAAAAAAAATTGTGACACTCCGTTTTTAATAAGAATGTATCAGTTCAATCACTATCAGTTTGCAGATGTACATTAAATAATAACAAGCAAGTTACTTGGTTTGAATTAGATATGATTACCATATAGCATACTTACTTTCAAAAACCAGAAAATACGTAAAGAAAACTTACAGTAATATGAGTGTCATAACAAGAGTGGAAATGAAAAATACTATAAGTACTGTAAATAGAGCATAGAACAACTGATGACAGAGTAAATCAATCTCTACATTTAGCAAAAATGTTTATAACAAGAAGAAAGCAAATGAAGATTATTTTGTTTTAATCTTAAGATGCATTAGTTAGGAGTTTGAAAAGAAGGTAATACTAAAAGTGAAAAATAAAATCTCTGTGTAATGGTTTGTTTCACATTGCTTGTTCAACCCCAAAACTGGGGTTCTACAAAATTCTCCTATTTAGCTTGACTGACCTGCATATCCAATCTTACGCGATGCTGGTATTGTCCTGAGTTCCACTTTCATCAGTTATCCACTCTGTAGCTGGACAGTGATTACACAGTCAAAAGTTGATTACCATTAGTTTTTATAACTTCACTGTCTTTCAACTAGATTCCTAATTATTTGTCCCTGTATATATGATTGTATAAGTGTTTGCGGTATTTTCCCCGTAAGAGTAATTCTCTTTAGAGATTTTCTCTGTTGATTCAGAGCCAGTCTTGGCAGCTACACTAGTAATTTTTCTTTAATTTCAACAAATGTTATAGAAGAAGATATGCCAAGTTGTGACTTGTTCTTTTCCAGGTCTAATTGGATATATCCAAAATATATCACAACTTCTGTCAAAGTGTCAAATATGAACATAAAAACAATCTCAAGTTTAGATCCAAAGTGTTTGTATTTGACTTAACAGGTTGTAGGAAAATATGTAATATTTTGAAGACATAGTAGGAACTGAGCTTTAGAGAAATGATTAAGATGATAATATATTATCTTATTATCAAAAAGGTTTGGGCAATTTCAGAATGGAAGTTGGCAGGGAAACTATAAGTCAGAAAAGGTTTGAGTATGTGAAAGGAACCAGGAACACACAAACCTCAATGGATTAAAATAATTAAATTATTTTTATAATACATTTCCATCATATTTCAGTGAAAAGTCTCTGCTCATTGTGGTCTTTGAGAAATGTAGGTGACAAAAGCTACATCTCAAAACATGCCACCGTGATTACAAAAGCGGGGGACAGAAGATAAGGTGAATAGCACTAACATGTCTGCCCAGAATGATGACACATCACTTCAACTTACGTTTTCTTGGGTTAAATAAAATAACATGGCCAAGTCTAGTTCTTATGGGAAAAGATTAAAATTATATGTACAAAAAAGCAAAATCAGGCACCCAATGAGAAGACCGCACACAACTTAGAGTCAAATAATAAGAGTTTTCTAAAGAGAGTTGGTTGCAATGATAATGTCAAGAATAAAATTGATTAAATAGGAATTTTTAGGTACAATCTGTAGGACATGAGACAGTGTTTGCACTTTTGCTTAGATCTATTTTTAGTATGTACATGTGTTTCCTCTTTGCTTCCTAACTTCTAACTTCAGCATCTAATACAGACTTGGCTACCAATAGGGTATGAGAGACATAGAATAAAATTAACTAAAAAAAACTTTGCACCTCACAACCTGACTATCCAAATGGCTATTGGTGCAATTGTTTTAAAAGAAACAAATTCTTGCTTCTTTTACAGGGAACTCACTTTACAGAGGAGCTCACTTGAAGAAAAAAGATACACTTTTAAAAATTTTATTTCATTTCGTGTATTTTACTTTATTTTATTCACATTAAAATACACAGTTAACGTTATTAGGCATAAAGAAAATACTTTTTTTTCTACTCCCACACCCCTGCTTCAAGGAAAATACATATTAAAATCAGAATTCAATAAAGCCTATAATTTTTTGAGGCAGAAAATGACAATTTTTGGTAAGACTGTGGAGCAATTGATTTCTGTATATTGCTGGTAGGAATGTACATTGATACAATTATTTTGAGAATTGTTTGGCAGTATTTACTCAAACTAGACACACACCCACCTTAGGACCTAGCAACTCCACACATAACAACTGCAATCACGCATTTATTCTGCAAAATATATGGACAAGAATATTCTGGCCCACGTGGTGGCTCACTCCTGTAATCCTAACACTTTGGGAGGCCAAGGCAGGAGGATCACGAGGTCAGGAGATCGAAACCATCCTGGCTAACACGGTGAAACTCCGTCTCTACTAAAAATACAAAAAGTTAGTCGGGTATGGTGGCACGTGCCTGTAGTCCCAACTATTAGGGAAGCTGAGGCAGGAGAATTGCTTCAACCCGGGAGGCGGAGGTTACAGTGAGCCAACATCATGCCACTGTGCTTCAGCCTGGGCGACAGAGCGAGATTCTGTCACACACACACACACACACACACACAAATATTCTTAGTAGTGCTATTTATAATTGCCCAAATCTGAAAACTACCCAAATGACCATCAAGAGCAGAATGAATAAATAAATTGTGCTATTTTTTCATAGTGGAATATAAACAGTAATAAGAAACAAACTACAGCTGCACATAAGAACAAATTTCCCAAACATATTGAATGAAAAAAGTCATACACAAAATAATACATTTTAGGTGATTCCGTTAGTATAAAGATCAAAACCAGACAAAGCTAATCTGTGATGTAAAAAATCAGAAAAAGTGATTTTCCTCTGGGAGAATGAAGTGACTTGGAAGGTTTTCAAAAATGTTTCTGGGTATTGGTGGTGTTATGTTTTTTGGTCTTGGTGCTGGATTACATGTAGTTTCTGTAAATTTATTCATCTGTACATTTTCTATTGGTATACTTTATGTTATGCTTTAGCAGAATTTTATTAATGTTATACAGATTTAATTTGATTAAGAGTACTCTTATAAATTTAGTAATAAATAGTGTTTATTTTGAATGAAAAGTCTAAGTGTATTTTAAAATACAACAGATTTTACTTTTATTTTCTCTTAGGCAAACTAACATATTGAGAATAATACAAAGTAGTTACGGATGCAAATGCTTACATCAGACAAAATGTGTCTCCCATTTTCACTTTTTACTATATTATTGTACTGTAAATATTTGATTTTAAATAAGAAAATCACATGCTCAAGATGGAAAGATTAACTTTTTAGGTATCCAGACTGACATGGAAACTGAACAGGGAAGTGAACCTAAATATAAATATAAACATTTTAGAATCAGTAGCCTGAAAGTAATAGTTAAATTCCTGACAAACCAAAGTCTATTTACTCACTCAATTTGAAATGTTATCAACCAGTGATCTGGAAATCTAGGTAAAAATAACAATTCTTTTATTTTTATTTTTTATTTTTTTTTTATTTTTTTTATTATTTTTTATTTTTTTTTTTTTTTTGAGACGGAGTCTCGCTCTGTCGCCCAGGCTGGAGTGCAGTGGCGGGATCTCGGCTCACTGCAAGCTCCGCCTCCCGGGTTCACGCCATTCTCCTGCCTCAGCCTCCCAAGTAGCTGGGACTACAGGCGCCCGCCACTACGCCCGGCTAATTTTTTGTATTTTTAGTAGAGACGGGGTTTCACCGTTTTAGCCAGGATGGTCTCGATCTCCTGACCTCGTGATCCGCCCGCCTCGGCCTCCCAAAGTGCTGGGATTACAGGCGTGAGCCACCGCGCCCGGCCACAATTCTTTTAATGACCTAAAATTCTGTAACTGTATTTGACTAAAAAAAGAGGGAGATTTTTCAATGTGATTTTAAACTGTAAACTCAAATTAGAATACAACAACCAAAATTACATGAAATCACATCTTATCCATCTGTCTGCTTGGGAGTTAAATCAAAATACTTTGCAAGGTGGAGATAAATTTAACTTTTATGTCTAATTTAAAATGGAGAGAGTTGGAATCACCTGTTTTAATGTCAAAAAAGAGGCAAATATACCAACTGAAGTTACAATGCTCCATGATTTTTTTTCTAACTATTATCAATGAGATCCCGTCTTTTGCAATGACATAAATGGAACTGGAGATCATTATGTTAAGTGAAATAAGCCAGGCTCAGAAAGACCAACATTGCATGTTCTCACTTATTTGTGGAATCTAAAAATCAAAACAATTGAACTCATGGATACAGAGAGTAGAAGTATGGTTTCCAGATGCTGGATAGGGTAGGGGAGGCCTGGGGGTAGGGAAGCGGGGATGGGTAATGGGCACAGACAAACATAAAAAGAATGAATAAGACCTACTATTTGATAGTACAACAGGGTAACTGTGGTCAATAATAACTTAGTTGTACATTTTAAAATAACTTAATGAAATTGGATTGTTTGTATCTCAAAGGATAAATGTTTGAAGGATGGATACTTCATTCTGTGATATATTTATTTCACATTGCATACCTGTATCAAAACATCCCATGTACCCCAGAAATGTATACACCTGCTATGTACCCATAAAAATTAATTTTTTTAAAATTATAAACTTTATAAAAATCATAGTTTTTTCATCTAATCGATATTAAAAAACATTGCATTATGACGGTAACAACTGAAAAAGCCATCTTGGAAACACAGGTATCATTTCACTTTATATCAATTGATTCTACCGACAGCTAATTCGTTAGCACTAAAAATCAGCTTCATTTTACGTTCTTTTTAGATCAGATTTTAGATAACAGTAACTGACCAGAAATTGGATTTGTTAAGCTATTAGTTAGATTAACAAAGAAAAAATAATAATCTGACATGACATTCCTCCTTTTTAAAGAAAATGATATATGAAACTTGGAAGCTATTACTTTAATAATTACCGTAGCTTTTATTTATTTATTAAATTTATGATTGGCACATAATAATTTTACATATTTATGGGGTAAACCTATTGTTACAATACATGTATGCATTGTGTAATGATCAACTCGGGGTAATCAACATATCTATCACTTTGAACATTTATCGTTTATTTGTGATGAGGACCTAAATCACTCTTACAGGTATTTTGAAATATACAATAAAATATTGCTAACTCCAGTTATTCCAGTATATAATAGAACACCAAAACTTATTTCTCCTAACAATTGCTTGGTACATATTGGTCAAGCTCTCACCATATCCCTCATTCTCATAACCTCCAAATCCTCTGGTAACCACTATTATATTTTCTACTTCTATGAGAACAACTCTTTAAATTTCACATATAAGTGAAATCATGCAATATTTATCTTTCTGTTAGTGGTTTACTTCACTTTGGATAAACTTGGAGAACATTATGGTTCAGCTTTTCTCGGATATTTATTCTAAAACTTTTGGATGTACTAAACCAACTCAAGCACTAATTTTCTTCCCCATATGCTAAATACCTCATGAAGAATACTGTAAACATGTATAAAGCATAATTTTATGCATATATGATTTTAAGCTCAGCTAGGAAAGTATTGAAAGGTACTTGAGTTGTATGTGTGCATTATAAGCCACATATTAAGTAAGCCACAAATTCACAAAAGAGGGTAATTTTGCTTAACAAGGGTATGGAAATTGAGAAATAGGTCTTAGAAATGAGCTGTTAGTAATATCAGTAATATTTTCAGAATAAATAGAGGTTGAATTATCAGCAAACTAGAATGAATACAATTCGTTAGAAGGAAATGAGCAAAATGTAATCAAAGAAACTGAGGTTGATGTAAATAATGATGATAGAGAACTATGTACCCAAATAGAACATGGCATTTGTATTTACAATATGATGGAAAAGTTAACCACATGGACTCTTCCTTTCAACCATAAGAGAGATCATGAAATAAAGCATGGAGAAGTGTGGCAAAGTACAACAAAACCAAAGTGTAATAATTTATTCATAGAATGTTTGAACAAAAAGAGCTCGTTTCTGCTTAATGTTTTATGTAATCCCATCTTTTCCAAATGAAAACCTGAAACTCAAATCTATAATCTGATCTTACTGTTTATAATGTTTGGATAATTGGTTCCCATAGTGAAACTTTTCATTTGTAACTGATTAACTGTACTTTCTGCCTGTGAAAAAGAATAATTAAATACTATTTACCACTCAATTATTTACAGCAGTAGTTAAAATGTGACCAAAAATAGTTAACAAAATTATTATAATGTACCTAATTGATAGAGAATTCTTGTTGAGTTGATGAATTTTGAATGTCTATATTAAGAATAGAAATGCTTTAAAAATGCTATGTATACATTTTATTTGTAAAGATCACATAAAAGTATTATAAAATGTTCTATGAGCTTTTGTGCAAATATGTTCAAATATACACATATAGGCACTCATGAATACATATTTATATGTTAGTTTTTTTAACATTAGGAACTGTACTGTTCATCACATGTGTGAGTCTGTTAGATAAACTGTATTCTCAAATGCAATAATGACAAACACAAAAATAGAACATTTTAGCTTAAAATACCAATAAAATATTTATTATATATGGAAGTAATTTAGTTTTCACTTTTTACACTATGTATTTTATAATTATAATGTAGGATATTAAATGATGGTAAATTAACATAAGTAGAAATTTCAATATCCCAGCTTTTATTGTTGAATAATACCAATATAAATGTATGTTTTTTTATCTGCCTAAGTGAAATCAGGAAAAAAATTTTAACTCACAGTCTTCATACCGAAATATGTTAATATCTATTTAACATTTAATAATGTAAGGATTATTAAACTGTGACTAAATGTGAACTAAATTTACTTGAAAATTATTTCAAAAGCTATAGCCTACTATTTTTCTAAAGATGATATAAAAGCAAGCAGAATTGAACTGGTTTGCGTACTAGCTGAATTGTATTTAACTCTAATTAATTTCCATTGGTGTATTCCATATATCTGGAAAACCAGACTATTTCATACTTCGAGAATATATAGTTCAATAATTTTCAGTGTTAAAAGTGATAAATGTTATTTCTGATCTATACTTGTTTTTTCTATGCATTGTAAGTGCATTATTCATAACTTTTACACTGGGAGACATTGTAATTAACATAGCAAAAATTTCTTGATGATAATTTATAAATCTTGCGTATAGTAGTGTATAATATAGAAATATTCCTTATTAGCACAATATTTTAAGGCAAAATCTCCCATCTGTGTTCTTATGAAAGATTATGTGCACAAGTTATGAAAGATCTTAATAAAATCTTTATGAAAAAAAGGATTTCACAAGTAAACTGGGAAACAATGCATACTATATCCCTGCTTGATGATTTGCAGTATTCTGTTATTAAAATCTATAATAAATCTGCTGACAAAAATACACTTAATAGAGCTAACATGGTATTGCCTATATCAATTTTAGGGCAGAAGTGTTTTGTCGCAATGTTTATAGTTATTTTGCAGAATATTAATTTACAGTCCTGTTACTGAATTTTTACAGATGTCCACTTAAAGCCAATTAAAAAAACATTTTAAAAATACTGTATGACAGGTATTGTTTTAAGCATTTTAGAAATATTAACTGGTTTAAATCTAATAACATGGCTATGAGGGAAATTAGAAAGCTATGAGGGAATTTTTACCTCTATTTCACCAGCCAGAAAACTGAGTTAGAGACAGATAAAGTTAATTGCCCAGAATCACACAATGAAAAAGCTGAAAGATTGAGGATATGGACTTGGAGTCTGTGGTTCCACCATTGGGCTCGATTCATTGCACTGGGTATTATTCTTATTTAATCTCTGCTTAATTGCCTTTTGGCCTTTTGGCTAAGATCTGTTCTGATCAGTCTAATCTTTATTTAGTTCAATTTAGTTCAATTCATTTATCTTATTGATTGTAGCAAGTAGAATTTGTTGTACAAATTAGATTAACTCTATGTATGTACATCTACATCTGTGGTAGGAGACCATTGTGAATTGCACAATAGTGATGCATTTCATAAAGAAAGTGGTTGCAGGTGGAGCATGGGCTACATTTTTAAGAAACTGATGACAGCAGGAGCATTAGCAAATCCCCATGAAATCTAACACATGTAACGAGAGCAGCTCAAACACTGAACATGACTAACTGTAGTGGAGGTATTTGTGATCCTGTAGAGAATACTCTCTGAAAACTTTTAGAGTGGGAATTGAGTAAATGCTGGAGATTCTCTATTAAGCGTAAGAAAATTGGCCAATAAAATTAGGGTGATTACTGTAGCTATCAGCACACAACTGTATTCACACACAAGGTAATTCTTGGAGAGTCTACTACCTTATACTCTTCTTAACTCTGATCAAACTGAAACATATGCAAAGCAATCACATTCATAGAAGTAGGAGGAATAAATTCTACTGTAAACTAGAAAGGTGTTAGATAAGTTGCAATAAAAAAATCTATTGCATAACTTTTAAAAAATGAAAATGATATTATTCTTATTTGACATTTGAATCAAATCTGCCCAGGTCAGCTTGTAATTATGGTACTAGCAACTGATCCAGTTGGAACAAGAATTGAGAAATTTTGACTTTATATAATCTTGTCGTTACTAAATAAATAGGTCAATAGTCTCTGAAAAAAGTTGGGGTCACCAAACCTGGACTCGAGGCTGACTTTTTATGTTTGATCTGTCAATTACTAATGATTTGATTTTTTGATATATTACATACTTCCTTTGTTGCTTAGTTTCGCCCCCTAAGAAAATCCCTAAGAAAATGAAACTACATAATTTCCAAAGTTTTTTTTTTATAAGTTCAAGGTTCTTATTGGGCCAAATATTAAAAGACTCTTTCATGTGTTTGAAATCACATGTCTTCTCTTTACGTGGTCAAACACCAAAGGAAGTTAGAGACAGTTTCCTTTAAGTCTTTTGTTAAAACTCAATGGGTTTACCAAAAAAAGGTGTTGATAGTTGTGTAAGTCACCTTGGTAATCTGCCATACATCCAAAATGTATTAATCAATTTCCAATTATGTACCAGGTATTGTGCCACCCTAGAAAGACAGCGTTATGCCATACACAGTCTCAGCTTTCATTATAGTTACACAATATTTGTGAAACCTGGCACGTAAAGAGATTTACAGCCAAGAGCTATAAATGCTATGATAGAGATAAACACAGGGAAGGGGTAAACTAGATCAACTAACAGATGTTATGAGTCATTAAGTATTGTTTTCTATGTATAATGACCTAGAAACTCAGATAGGAGGGATACATGATTATTAACCAGATGAAGAAAGAACACTACAAGATAAAGGGAAAAAATGCTAAGATCTCGAGGTGAGATTAATGGGGTGCTTGAAAATTGTAATTAAAATGTGGCTGGAATGTTGAATTTAAGAATCACAGCCAGGCGCAGTGGCTCACACTTGTAATCCCAACACTTTGGGAGGCCGAGGCGGGAGGATCAATTGAGGTCAGGAGTTCCAGACCAGCCTGGCCAACACGGTGAAACCCCGTCTCTACTAAAAATACAAAAACTAGCCAGGCATGGTGGTGGATGTCTGTAATCCCATTGAACCTGAGAGGTGGAGGTTGCAGTGAGCCAAGATCAGAGATCGCGCCACTGCACTTCCAGCCAGCCTGGGTGATAGAGTGAGACTCAGTCTCAAAAAAAAAAAAAGAATCAGAGGTGGTACTGTTGAGGAAGCATTTGTTGAAAGGTTGGTCTGAATTTTTGTCAGGATCCAGGCCTTACAGAAATTTCCTGAGAGATGGCATTAAAGTGGCATCGTCTATGTAAGGTATAGCAGTTTATCTCTATAAAAAAGATTAATAATAAGAAAAACAGTGACAGTACTTGTTTTTGATTTCTAGTGTCCTTTCCAAACCAAGTAAAATTTAAAAATGTAAGTTCTGTCAACATAAAATATTGCTCTGATTCTCTTTCTTCCTTCCCCTCAACCTTTTGTCTCAGAGATATGGGATTTCTCATGGACATATAAAATGTCATTGATGTAAAAATAGCTGTGATGTAAGTGGTCCCTCTCAGTTAATGCTAAATTGCTTGAACTGAATCTGGTGTGTTGTAAAAAAAAACCTAATGCAAATGAAATTTAGTAGAGTTTACTTGAGCAAAGAACAATTTGTAAATTAGGCAGCACTCAGAACTAGAAGAGGTTCCAAGAGCTCCACCTAGCAATGTGACTAATCAACTTTCATTTCACAGAAAGAACACAGATGTGAAGTAGGGAAATCACCTGATTGGCTACACACAGCTAGATGTTTGCCTAATTTGGGCATGGTGTGAAGAGTGGGCTGCCTGTGAACGGCTGAAGCCCAACTGTTTGTGATGGCCAAGATGTAGCCATTTGTTATAATCCCAAATTAGGTTGCGGTTTGTACTTAGGAACTCAAAATATGGGAGACCATCTCATGCTAGTGGCCTCCTGCTTATTTAATTTGAGAGCTACCCTAGGTTTGCCTCTCTGTTGGCACACCAAGGAATTCAATCTCAGTGGGCATCTCTGGAACACAGGATTCTCAAAAAAAGGGCATCACATGTCTTTTTTTTTTTTGAGACAGAGCCTTGCTCTTATTGCCCAGGCTGGAGTGCAGTGACGTGATCTCGGCTCACCACAACATCCGCCTCTCGGGTTCAAGCAATTCTCCTGCGTCAGCCTCCTGAGTAGCTGGGATTACAGGCATGAGCCACTACGCCCAGCTAATTTTGTATTTTTAGTAGAGATGGGGATTTCTCCATGTTGGTCAGGCTGGTCTCGAACTCCCAACCTCAGGCGAAAAGTGCTGGGATTACAGGCGTGAGCCACCGCACCCGGCCCACTTGTCTTTTTTAGTCTAGAGAATTTATTAATGTTTTTTCATTATCACAATGGTAACATTTTAAGATCTGTCAATTTAAAATATTCTCTGAAGTCTTTCTTCTACATGTATTCATTGAGAGAGAAGAGATACTTTGACCTCTACCACATTTGTTTGATATTGAATTTTTTTTTTAAACATTAACTTCTGGTAAAAATCTAGCAAGGGTAAATTTAATTTGTCAATATTTTTCCTACACTGTGTCTTCCAATTTTGCAAATAACATATTTAAAAGTTTAATTAAATATATTTTATGAAATATGAATATTTCAGAGAAGAATTAGAATGATTGCTTTATTAATAATTTATTCAATTATAATCAGACACCAATCTTAGCATAATCACAAGTTTGGGAGTAAATATATAAATTGGACTGAATTTTGGAGTACACTGGATATAAGACTTGGGGTACACTGGATATAACACAGCTGATGTTAGCTGATGTCACTAATAATGACTAATATTTCAAACCCAATTCAGTAACATAACTGCCATTTACAGTTGACCCTTGAATAACTTGGGTTTGAACTGTGGTCAACTTACAAGTTTTTTTTTTTTTTTTTTTTTGCCTCTGCTATCTTTAAGATAGAAAGACCAACTTATCTTCCTCCTTCTTGGCCTACTCAGGGTGAAGATGATAAGGACAAAGACCTTTATAATGATCCACTTCCAGTTAATGAATAACATTTTATCTTCTTTATGATATTCTTAGTAACATCCTCTAGGTTATCTTCTGGTAAAAACTTAGTGTTTAATACATATAACATATAAGATATGTATTAATTGACTGTTTATTTTATCAGTAAGCCTTCCAGTCAACAACAGGCTATTAAAAGTTAAGTTGTTGTGGAGTCAAAAGTTATAGATGAATTATCGACTTCATGGTGTTTAGCACTCCTAATCCTCATTTTGTTCAAGGGTCAACTGTATTAGAGTGTTATAAATAAATCACAGTAGCTTTTGGCTATTTCAAAGAGTAAGTTTGTGCACTGATGGGAATGAAAGTCTTACACTAAACAAATACAAAAGAAAAGATTTTTCAGAGCAATTAAACGATAGTTTGAAAACTCTTTTGAAATTCTGACCTATTTATTTGGGTCAATATGGTCTCTAACGTTTCACTTTGAAGAAGGTAGTACTCTGGAAAACTGAATTTACCAACTTTTGGTGTCAAACATTAATATCAATATTAAAATGTTAAAATGCATTTTATATAAATGCTCTTTAGAAACTTGTTCAAGCATAAAAAGCATAAAAGGAAAGTTTTTCTTTGAGATGTCAATTATAGATTCTATTGGAAATACTACATAGCTTATTAAAATATTCAAAATCTCATTTAAATTGAAATTATTATGTATAATGCCATTAAAATCACAGGCTCTCCTGGTAATCAATGTTCAATGGAAGAATGAATAAGCTCAAAGTTTAAAGAATCTTTCAATTTACTGCCGATCTTTACCATGAAGACTATTAATTACTTTTGGTACACTCCAATTTATTATTCAATACAGAAAAGGAAATGATCTATATAGTACAATTGGTTCTAATATCATTGGATTACACATCAAGTGAGTGTTAAGTATGAGAGGTAGCAATTGTTCGAAGTTTTAAAGCAGATGTTAATACAGAATATCAAAATTTTATTTGCATTTCAGCGAGTATCTCTATGTTTCTTAATCTACAAAATGGAAATGATGATACTATTTCGGATTTTTGTGAGTCTAACAAGAGAAAAGTACGTGTAAAGGAAGTATTTATCAACTACACAAGCAAACTATATGACTTCTCAGTAATTGGCAAAATTATCATAATGGTTATGGGACAGTTTTGAAGATTAAATGAGATAACGATCAAGTGAACAACAAACTGTCATATTGGAAACACTGAAGAAAAGTAGATATTTGTCATAGTTAAAAAATGATCACATACCTCTTTGAACTTTTATTTATAATATATATTTTTAGAAAGACATCATGTTAAATATATCACATGTCATTTAATGAAAGAAGAATGTTTTGTTTGGAATGTGTTAATTGGATTTATTATATATTTTCTATGTCAAACCTAAAAATATTAAACAGTAAGAATTTTATCATGGACTACAATTTGTAGATAATTATCAGCCTTTCTCCAGTTTATTGGTCTCTGTTACAGAAACATTGACACTGACTATTTCTTTTTCAAAAGAATCAACCATCACTCCCAGGTTAATATTTAGCAGCTATCCAGTGACTCATGTATCTAAAATGGCTTAAAAGCATTGGAGTTTGTTGGGAGACAGAGGCGGGCGGATCAGGAGGTCAGGAGATCCAGACCATCCTGGCTAATATGGTGAAACCTCGTCTCTACTAAAAATACAAAATATTAGGCCGGGCACGGTGGCTCACCCCTGTAATCCCAGCACTTTGGGAGGCCGAGGCCGCCGGATCACAAGGTCAGGAGATGGAGACCATCCTGGCTAACACGGTGAAACCCTGTCTCTACTAAAAATAGAAAAATTAGCTGGGCGTGGTGGAGGGCGCCTGTAGTCCCAGCTACTCTGGAGGCTGAGGCAAGAGAATGGCGTGAACTCGGGAGGTGGAGCTTGCAGTGAGCAGAGATTGCGCCACTGCACTCCAGCCTGGGAGACATAAAAAAAAAAAAAAGCATTGGAGTTTGTATCTCACTTTGTTTTATTTGTAGGCGTGAGGATATATGCTTTACTGAAGAAATAGTAAGAGAGTTGACGCATAGAGACTAAGGTTAGGGTGTGTTAGAAACAAAGCAGCTTTCCCTTTTAGAAGAAAGATCGTATGAGTTTACTAAGGAAATATAATAGAAGTTTTGGGTCTCTGAAACCTTGAACGAGTTGCATTTAAATTTAACAAAACGACACTAATTTTCTTATTTATTTTTTCTTAAATGAAATTTGGCTGTTGTTGCCCATTCCCCTGAAGCTCACAGGCTTATACAAATTTTGCGTAAAATGCACAGTCTGTTGTTTTCTCACAATTCTAAACTGATTTTCAACATGGCTTTCTATCCATTAGCTCCAAAGTCAGGTTAGATTTTTTTTTTTTTTTTTGAGACGGAGTCTCGCTCTGTCGCCCAGGCTGGAGTGCAGTGGCGGGATCTCGGCTCACTGCAAGCTCCGCCTCCCGGGTTCACGCCATTCTCCTGCCTCAGCCTCCCAAGTAGCTGGGACTACAGGCGCCCGCAAGTAGCTGGGACTACAGGCGCCCGCCACTACGCCCGGCTAATTTTTTGTATTTTTAGTAGAGACGGGGTTTCACCGTTTTAGCCGGGATGGTCTCGATCTCCTGACCTCGTGATCCGCCCGCCTCGGCCTCCCAAAGTGCTGGGATTACAGGCGTGAGCCACCGCGCCCGGCCGTCAGGTTAGATTTTAATCGGTAGTTTTTTCTCCTTCTTGGTAGAGGAGCTTTTCTAAAGCTAGATGAGGATCAGACCAAAATTGGCAATTACAATTTTAAAGAGCAACATCCAGAAAATAGGTACTGAATGAAGAATTTGATTAAAAAAAGAAGTTTTGAAATTGGCAACATTTAAAAATAAAACCGCAAGGTAAAAAATGAAGACATAGAAGGACAGAAAAAAAGAAGTCTGGCTGAACTTTTCTGCTCAGGGTCAAAATGACTTTGGAGTGCAGCAAAAAACAGGAATATAAAATAAAATGTTAAAATCACAAGGAAAAAATAAGCCTTTCCAAATTTGCCCTGTCTCTTATCTATCAGACTCAGCCCAAAAGCAAATTGTTGGCAGATGTTTTGTGATATGATTTTTTTTGTGACATATAAAAACGAAAAGGAATAGATATGAATGCATTGAAGAGAGATCAAAATGATACAATTTGAGCAAGACATAAATTAGTCATATTAAGCTCAATGCCTTATGAAAAATTTTCAGTGGTATTATATGTTATCAGACAAAAGGGCCCATATGAATGTAACAATTTTTAAATATACATCTTTTAATATCTGAAGAAAATGATAATGCAAACAATACAATCAAATATTATGTAAGATTTTTGGTAGTATTTTTAAATAAATATTTGATGTTTTTAAAAAGATGTTAAACAGATTGGTTGCCCATTATATTACACTACTCGTTTAATGAAAAGGCATGGTACACTTACTATATGAAATTTATGGCCGAAGATTACATTTACTCTAAAAATGATTTATGGAGAGTAGCAATTGATACAGAATTTTAAAATGATGTTACAAATTTTCTGTGTGTCTGATTGTAATTCATATACATTAGTGAGTGGAAACAGCCATTATTAAATCTTCTACAGTTGAAATCATTCATTTAAGTTATTGTGGTTTAAAAATTCACCAGTATTAGGCCTGATTTGTGGATAAATAAAGAGGAGGCCCTATTCCTGAATAGCTCAAAGTACTGTGAAAGAGAAGAATAAGTAGAAGATGAAAATGCTCTCTGAACTCGTACGCATGTACAAAGTAACAGCCCAGCACAGGAAGAAATGCTCAATTTCAATCCTCCGTGCTCGTGGCTATCAAGGTTATAAGTGATCAGGCTTATAAGTGATCAGGTTATAAGTGATCAAGAGATATAGCTTTTGTTTATCCTTCCAGCTTCATTATGTTACACACACTCACAGAATTCTAGCCTTTGTTATTCTATGAATTACTAGAATTACTAGGATTGTTCCCTCTACTCAAAACTTTTGTACTTGTTATTCCTTTATACTTAAAGAAATTATTTCTGGTTGTTTTTATAAGTAACTCCTTATATATATAAGCAACTCACTGTTGCTGTCAATCCTTTAGGACTGTTTTCTCCACCTCTGTTTTTGTTATTGTTTATCTAGTAATTTTTAATTCATTTGTTTCTTCACATGATTGGTGTTTGTCTTTCTTGCTAGAATAGATGCTCCATGAAGGCAAATAATGCTTTTGCATTTTTCCTATGCTATTGTAAATTCCTAGCATAGTACCTAGCTACCCTGGTTTCCTCATATGTAAAATGGGGATAGATTATAATATGACTTGGTGAGGTAAGTTTATAAATTAAATAAGAATATGCATCTAATATTTTTAAGAAAATAATAAAATCATTATTAATTATTTTAGTGCAGTTTATGTAGTGGCAGCCAAAAAAATGTTGCTTATGTATATATTTTACACCTAAATGTTTATGCTGATTATTTTCTACATGCTACAAGTGTTTTACTACAGAAGAAATAAATATTGTGTTTAAAATACATTAATATAAGAGTATAAAGTTTAACTTTTTATATGTAATGGTTACCAATAATATAATTCATGGTAAACATATACAATAATAATTATGCATTATGTTGGTGCTATTGATAAATTATATACTCATTCAAGTATTAGATGTGTCTCTTTATGATTTAAATGAATTTTATATTAAATATGGCCACATCAGCAATACAATGGGTAAAATAAGCACATAATCTCTCTGATTCTGTGTGAGTCAGTTGTGTGTGAATCTGTTTCAAATTAATACGATAATCATATGTAAGAATAAAATTGCATCTTAAAAGTAACTTAAAATGTTAAGTAAAGATATGCTATTTTTAAGTGTATATAAATTTATAAAGTTATTTTTTCTTTTACTAAATTTTATATCAAATTTATAGGACGTTCAACTATATGTATATCTGAACATACACTGTCAAAATCAAATACAATATAGAGATAAATATCTAAATTTAAAATGTTTTATTTTGGAAGTAAGAATTGCAGTTTGAGGCATACACAAAGGATGTGTGGTCTTCGGTATGTCCAAAGCACAAAGGGAAGTTTGGGAGGTTTATTAGTAGAGAAATAGTAAGTTTTTTTATTTTATTTTATTTTTATTTATTATTATTATACTTTAAGTTTTAGGGTACATGTGCACAATGTGCAGGTTAGTTACTTATGTATACATGTGCCATGCTGGTGTGCTGCACCCATTAACTAGTCATTTAGCATTAGGTATATCTCCTAATGCTATCCCTCCCCCCTCCCCCTACCCCACAACAGTCCCCAGAGTGTGATGTTCCCCTTCCGGTGTCCATGTGTTCTCATTGTTCAATTCCCACCTATGAGTGAGAATATGCGGTGTTTGGTTTTTTGTCCTTGCGATAGTTTACTGAGAATGATGATTTCCAATTTCATCCATGTCCCTACAAAGGACATGAGCTCATCATTTTTATGGCTGCATAGTATTCCATGGTGTATATGTGCCACATTTTCTTAATCCAGTCTATCATTGTTGGACATTTGGGTTGGTTCCAAGTCTTTCCTATTGTGAATAGTGCTGCAATAAACATATGTGTGCATGTGTCTTTATAGCAGCATGATTTATAGTCCTTTGGGTATATACCCAGTAATGGGATGGCTGGGTCAAATGGTAAGAGAAATACTAAGTTTTGTTGTGGAAGTAAGTTTCTTGGCACCAGAGAAGATTTTGGGAGCTTGCAGGCTTTGATTGGTGAGTGATACTGGCAGGTAAAACTGGTCTTAGGATTACAGCAGATGATTTTAGCAGCTGAACTTGTAGAGTATTTAACTCTTGGAGCAGATGCTATGTGCTCTGAATGATTTTCTCCCGGCTCCTTGACCCTGATTCTCTGATTTAGTTGGATAGGACAAGAATGATTCAATTCATATAATCAATTTTCCATATATATATATATATATATAATACCAACCCACCCACCCACACACACACACATCTATGTGTTATGAGTTAATATTTTCACAAAAATGTAAAAGAAATTGAGTTTGTAGTATAATTTTTTTATCTGCTTTTATCACTTCATCATCATCAGTAAGGAGTCATGCCTTTGGAAAAAAACTCTAATAATTGCTTTATAATTTCTTTAAACAAAAAAACAGTGACAGGTGGATTTTATGGCTACTACATATAAAGAAACTTATGTACTCACATTGCACTCAAATAAGATGGGGGGCTCACTGCCAATTGTTTCTAAAACTATTATATTAAATTACAGCATTGACCAAGAAAAAAAGATGAAATAGTCAATTTAGCCAACAGATCTGTTAAACTGCCTTCCCCAAACCAAAAAGTAAAACCGAATCCCAAAGTACTTCTACATGTACTTATTTCTTTTTATTACTCAGAGAAAGTGATTTTATTTCCTGTAGCTTAACACTAATCCCTTCACTTCTGATTTCTATTCCAGCTGCTTCAATTTCTTCAGGACTAGGAATTTTTTCCTCTTTCTCACATACATTCAATCTCTGTCTACTAATTAATTTCCCATAATCTCACAGCATTTTAATCTCTCCTATCTTAATAGTCTTTGTGTTAAACTCTGAGCCTCTACACACTAAGTCTCTTTTTTCACTGCTACACAACTGTGCAAAAAAAAAAAAAAATGCAGCTCACGTATGTCACCATAAGGCACCATCAATTTACTCTGCCAAACCAAACTCGCTTCTGACTACATTTAAAAATATCTTTCCAAGATTGTAAATTAATTGTAAAATATAGTTCTCTCTTGCAACTTCATTTGATAACAGTTGAATGCTACTTTCTTTATGATTATTTCTATTTCAGAGGTAATACACGACAGTGATTAAAAGCATAGGTACTAGTTTTGTGAAATTGGATAAGTGGTTTAAAATGTCCGTGTCTTAATTTCCTTTTATGTTTAGTGTGTTAGATTTGTTAATACATGTAAAATACAAAGACAGTTAATAAATGCTCAACAAGGCCGGGCGCAGTGGCTCACGCCTGTAATCCCAGCACTTTGGGAGGCCGAGGCGGGCGGATCACAAGGTCAGGAGATCGAAACCATCCTGGCCAACACGGTGAAACCCCATCTACACTAAAAATACAAAAAATTAGCCAGGTGTGGCGGCGGGCGCCTGTAGTCCCAGCTGCTCCCGGAGGCTGAGGCAGGAGAATGGCGTGAACTGGGGAGGCGGAGGTTGCAATGAGCCGAGATCGTGCACTCCAGCCTGCGCGACAGAGCGAGACTCCATTTAAAAAATAAATAAATAAAAAATAAATGCTCAACAAATACTAAGCATTTTTATACTGGGTATGATTATTCACTCTTCTGGTCATTGTTTCTCACACCACTATCTGTATGCTAATTTTACTTAAATTTATGCAGCAAATCAATTTTATGCATATAATAATCTCAAATTCAACCCCAACAATATTTTGCTTATACAATTGCCTTTCAATTTAATCATCATACTTTGTTTTCTATCTCTATGAGGAAGTTCATCCTTGACTGATCTAACTTTGCCAGGAGTTCAGAATGCACTTATTTTCTTTTATTTTTACTTTGCTTTTCTTTTAGTTCACATACATTTAGTAATGTTTCATCTCTACTATAATTCCTAAAAGTTTGTCATACTCTATCTCATGTCTATCATGATGTTACCACAAAGAATCCCATTTGTAAAATATCATCTTTCAACTTTTACCTATATTATTTTAATAGTTTCCAAATGGAGACTTTTATTTAATAAAAGGGAAATCAAATCAGGTCACTAAAATTACAGCAGAACAAACCCTCTGTAGCACAGTGAGCAAGGTTCTTCATAAGTTACTTGTTTAGCTCCTTGCAATTTGGGCTGCAGCCATAATAATCAACATAAAGCACGTCAAACACATCATGCTATTTTATTCTTTGGTGCTTTTTCTTACTGTAGCAGGAATGTCCTTCTCATCGTTCAAAAATCCTCCTGTTAAGAAGTTTTATGGCTTTTCCATCTACCAATGGAAATGAAAACTTATTCCTTGAGTGTCCCAAGTCCCCTTTGAATACATCGAGCACAGTCCTTCAATCTTTGTGTGGCATTATATGTTTATGCAGATTTTACAAACTTAGTGAAAAGGACTATGACTCATTAGTCTTGTCTGTTTGAATAGCTAATCATGTCTGGCTCATCTTCCTCCTCTGTATCAAATTCACATTGATAATGCCATAAATAACATTGATTAAGTGTGAGGTAATATAACTAGGTTTGTTAAATAATAATGGTATTAATTTGCTGAATTCAATTCTGTAAAGTAATTGAACTTCTTTATTTACAACGTGCTGTACTGATTCTTTCTGATATACAAAGTCCACAAATAAGAGAGCCAAAGCATTTTCCTGCCTTCAAGGAAGTAGTATTGTACACACACCTGGAAGACAAAGTAAGTAATACCATGTAGATGTAAATAAACTATAAGACTAATTTCACCGTAGAGCATTTTGTTGGTTTTGATAAATAAAACATATTTGGTCTGAGGTTTAAAGTGCACACAGAAATATTAAAGAATGACAAATTCTTCTGCATTGCAACTTGAAAGGTCAAATAAATAAAAGCAAATACAAATAAAAAGTTCCAAGGGTTTTTGTCATTGGTTCTGTTTATGTGATGGATTACGTCTATTGATTTGCGTATGTTGAACCAGCCTTGCATCCCAGGGATGAAGCCAACTTGATTGTGGTCAATAAGCTTTTATTGTGCTGCTGGATTTGGTTTGCAAGTATTTTATTGAGGACTTTCACATGGATGTTCATCAGGGATATTGGCCTGAAATTTTCTTTTTTTGTTGTGTCTCTGCCAGGTTTTGGTATCAGGATGATGCTGGCCTCATAAAATGAGTTAGGGAGGAGTCCCTCTTTTTCTACTGTTTGGAATAGTTTCAGAAGGAATGGTACCAGCTCCTCTTTGTACCTCTGTTAGAATTCGGCTGTGAATCTGTCTGGTTCTGGGCTTTTTTGGTTGGTAGGCTGTTAATTAATGCCTCAATTTCATAACTTGTTATTGGTCTATTTGAAGAAAGGGCCTTGAATAAAATTCAACACCCCTTCATGCTAAAAACTCTCAATAAACTAGGTATCGATGAAATGTATCTCAGAATAATAAGTGCTATTCATGACAAACCCACAACCAATATCATACTGAATGGGCAAGAGCTGGAAGCATTCCCTTTGAAAATCAGCACAAGACAAGGATGCCCTCTCTCACCACTCCTAGTCAACATAGTATTGGAAGTTCTGGCCAGGGCAATCAGGCAAGAGAGAGAAATAAAGTGTATTCAAATAGGAAGAGAGGAATTCAAATTGTTTATGTTTGCAGTTTACATGATTGTATATTTAGAAAACCCCATCGTCTCAGCCCAAAATCTCCTTATGCTAATAAGCAACTTCAGCCAAGTCTCAGGATACAAACTAGATGTGCAAAAATCACAAGCATTCCTATACAACAATAATAGACAAACAGAGAGCCAAATCATGAGTGGACTCCCATTCACAATTGCTACATAGAGAATCAAATACCTAGGAAATACAACTTACAAGAGATGTGAAGGACCTCTTCAAGGAGAACTACAAACCACTGCTCAAGGAAATAAGAGAGGACACAAACAAATGGAAAAAAACATTCCATGCTCATGGGTAGGAAGAATCAATATGATGAAAATGGCCATACTGCCCAAAATAATTTATAGATTCAAAGCTGGATAGCTACCATCAAGCTACCATTGACTTTCTTCACAGAATTAGAAAACAAAACTACTTTAAATTTTATATGGAACCAAAAAAGAGCCCCTATAGCAAAGACAATCCTAAGCAAAAAGGACAAAGCTGGAGGCATCACGGGACCTGACTTCAAACTATACTGCAAGGCTACAGTAACCAAAACAGCATGGTACTGGTACCAAAACAGCATGGTAGTGGTACCAAAACCGATATATAGACCAATGGAACAGAACAGAGGTCTCAGAAAAAATGCCACACGTCTACAACCATCTGATCTTTGACAAACCTGACAAAAACAAGCAATAGGGAAAGGATTCCCTATTTAATAAATGGTGTTCAAAAACTGGCTAGCCACATGCAGAAAACTGAAACTGGACCCCTTCATTACACAAAAATTTACTAAAGGTAGATTAAAGACTTCAATGTAAGACCTAAAACCATAAAAACCTTAGAAGAAAACCTGGGCAATACCATTCAAGACATAGGCATGGGCAAAGACTTCATGACTAAAACACCAAAAGCAATGGCAACAAAAGTCAAAATTGACAAATGGGATCTAATTAAACTAAAGAGCTTCTGCACAGCAAATGAAACTATCATCAGAGTGAACAGGCAACCTAGAGAATGGAAGAAAATTTTTGCAATCTATCCATCTGACAAGGGGCTAATATCCAGAATCTACAAGTAACTTAAATTTACAAGAAAAAACAACCGATCAAAAAGTGGATGAGGGATATGAACAGACACTTCTCAAAAGAAGACATTTATATGGCCAACAAACATATGAAAAAAAGCTCATCATTACTGGTCATTAGAGAAATGCAAATCAAAATCACGAGATATGATCTCATGTCAGTTAGAATGGCGATCATTAAGAAGTCAGGAAACAACAGATGCTGGAGAGGACGTGGAGAAATAGGAACGCTTTTACACTGTTGGTGGGAGTATAAATTAGTTCAACTATTGTGGAAGACAGTGTGGCGATTCCTCAAGGATCGAGAACCAGAAATACCATTTGACCTAGCGATCTCATTGCTGAGTACATACCCAAAGGATTATAAATCATTCTACTATAAAGACATACACACACATATGTTTTCTGTTGCAGTGTTCACAATAGCAAAGACATGGAACCAACCCAAATGCCCATCAATGATAGACTGTATAACGAAAATGTGTCACATATACACCATGGAATACTATGCAGCTATAAAAAATAATGAGTTCATGTCCTTTTCAGTGACATGGATGAAGGTGGAAACCATCATTCTCAGCAAACTAACGCAGGAACAGAGAACCAAATGCCACATGTTCTCACTCATAAATGGGAGTCGAACAATGAGAAAACATGGACACAGGCAGGGGAACATCACACACCGGGTCTTGTCAGGGGGTGGGAGGCAATGGAAAGGATAGCATTAGGAGAAATACCTAATGTAGATGACGGGTTGATGGGTGCAGCAAACCACCATGGCCTGTGTATACATATGTTACAAACCTGCATGTTCTGCACATGTATTCCAGAACTTAAAGTGTAATTTACAAACAAAGTGACAAGAAATGCAGTACCCTGGGTGTAGGAAATTTGTGGAAGAATAAAAGAATAGTTGTTTGTAGAAAACAGATTTTTACTGGAATCCACAAGGAGTCAAGAGTACTAGAAATGGCATATACATGTTGGCAGATAGGAGACTATAAAACTATATATATGTTGAGATACACATGTATTTATATAAATATCTGAACTTTTTATAAAATACATAATGTAAATTATAAAATACTCCTATAAATATGTAATATCTGAACTATATAAATATTTATATAAACTATAAAAGTATGTCATTTATATGAAAGTAGCTTTGCAATATTAACTCGTGTAGTGTGTCAAGCTTTATATACTATATATACACATATAATAGAGCAAGAGAGAGAAAATAGGAATGGGAGATAGAGACAGGATATAATATAATATTTGTTTAACTTAAAAGGATCCAGTGCTTCTTTGTGCTGGCAGCATGTGTATATATATGCATATACATATGTGAGAGATATATAGATATACATGTATACATATATATATATATCACATCCATATATCAGACATAAATTCAACTATATTAGTAGTTACATTAAACAGAAATTACAAACACATGATGTTCAAAGGCAAAGATTGTAAGATTGGAATAAAATAAAAACAAGATTCAATGATATACTGTCTGCCCTCTACCTGTGATATATTTCAAATTAAAATACCCGAATAGTTTTAAAGTAAAGAAATTGGAAACCATATACCAAGTAATCAGTAACCAATAGAGAGCTGGAATGACTAAACTTATACCAAACAATGTATACTTAATGTATAGAATGTCTTCAAAGTAAAAGCAGGACTTTTTTAAGGATTAAAAAGTCAATACATTAGAAAGATGGAGAAATTTTGAATGTATATCCAGATAACATGGTCTACGTAAGTTAATTTTCATTTACTTCTGTTAATAAACCGACAAACTTTATTTCACCATTTACTTATGACTGAGATTAAAGAAAAAGTTTAACCCATCATACATTACCTAGTCATACAATACAATTTTATATAGTACCCCAAATCACACATTTTTTTCATGAACTACATGTTTTAGCAGCTTCATTTTGATATAATATTTTATATTATTGAGATACAAAACCATAATATTCACTCAAATTGTACAATTCAATGCTTCCTTGGAATACTCATAGTTGTACCATTATCACAAAACCTAATTTTAGAACATATTCATCACGTCTAATCTACCCATTAGCAATCACTCTCTATCTCTCTCCTCCTCACATATAGGCAACCACTAATCTACTTTGTTTTACTATAGATTTGGCTATTCTAGACATTTTGTACAAATGGAGTCATACAATATGTCATCATTTGAGACTGGCTATTTGCATTTAGAATGATGTTTCATAGTTCATGCATATTATAGAAGGTACAACACTTCATTCCTTTTTATTGCTGAGTAACCTTCCATTGCATGGCTAAACTACATTTTATTGATTTATTCACCAATTTATGGACATTTTGAAATTTTTCACTTTTATGTGGTTATGAGTAATGCTGATATAAACATGTACAAGATATTTTCTGGATTTTTGTGGTTTTCATTTCTTTTGGGTATGTAATTAGAAGTTGAATTACTGGATCATATTATAAATCTATGTTTAAATTGTTTGAAAACTGTCAAACTATTTTCCAAATTGGTTGTAATAGTTCACATTCCACTAGCAATGGATGATTGTTCCAATGTAGTCACATTATCACCACCACTTGTTATATTCTGTCTTCTGATTTTTACTATCTAATTTTATATGTAGTAGCATTGTATTGTGGTTTTAATTTTTATTCCATGAATGACTAATGATAATGTGCATCTTCTCATGTGCTTGCTGGCCTTTGGCATATTTTCTTTGGAGAAATATTGGAATAAAATTATTTGTCCATTTTTAAAATCAGCCTGTGTTTTTATCATTGAGTCATTAGTTTCCTTTATATAGTCTAGATCTAAGCCCCTTATAAGACATATGACTTGAAAATATCCCAAATATTGGTGGTCATTTTACTTTTTTGATATTACTTACAGCACAAAAATTTTAATTTTGATGTAATCTAATTTATCTATTTTTTAATTTTACTCTTATCATTTTGATATGACGTAGTAGCACTGGGACTTCTAAAAGTATCCACATTCAAATCAAGTGATAGAATCACCAAGGTAGACACAGGGCCCAGCATCAATGGTAATTGTGTCTTCATCAGACTCGTTCCTTGGTAAAATGACTGTAATTCTGTCAAATCACATCTGAGGGATTTTTTTTTTTAACAAGTTGACTGGTATTTTTGTTAACTCAACAATAATATATGAAGTTATTTTCTGCTGAATTTCGGAGGCTATTTCTGCTGCATATATTATTATGTAAACTGCCTGCTACAGCTACCAAGATAATAAATAATTAGTCAAATTTATCCGACATAATCTTTTGAAAGACTATTTGGAAGTAAAAGAGTTTCAATGTTGGTGAATTGTTTTACAAGCTCTAAATATTTTTTGATAATAATTTTTAAATTTCTTTTCATTTAAGGAAATACTTTTCACCCTATTGTGTATATCCTGGTAGAAGTTAAGTTCTATTTACTTTTATTTCTGAACATAGGAAAGAAGTATAATTAAAAACTAGGCCAATTCAATGGTGTTTTTTGGAAAGTAAACTTTGAAAATGATTGGTGTTTATTTATTATAATGAATTTTTCCTAAAATTTCTGGTTCTTAGTTCTAGTCAATATTTCAACTTTACCACAGACTTAATGAGCTATTTGTTATTTTCAACAAAAGATATTTTCCTCACAAAGCACAATATTTGTAAAGTCACTTTCAAAGACTTTAAAAAATAATTTGAAAAAAAGTATAAAGTAGTTCTACAAAAATTAATAGAACAAATAGTTTTATTCTAAACTATATAGTTAAGTTCATATCAGATTAACAAATTAAGACTCTGAGAAAGAATATAAATAAGCTCATCACTCCAGTTCTGTAACTGCTGACATTTGTTAAAAAGTAAATCTCAGATTGACTTTTTAAGTTATCAACTGCTTCTTGTTTCCTCAAAGGCATTTTGTACTTGAAAATATTTGTCATATTAACATAATTCAATCTGCTAGAAATCTGAAGGAAGATACAAAGAAGAAAAGTTTACAGTAAATCTGTCTCTCTCTTTCATTTTTACCATGCAAATACCATCTAAACAGTTATTTCACATTTAAAGAAAATCATAATCTATAACCTTTGAACCCTCTTCATGATGGCATATTGCTCGTAGCTATAACTACTAATTGAGAAAATGGAGCATAAAATTACTAAAGAAGCATAGAGAACTAATATTTAAAATCACAGGAAAAGTTAATTAATTGAGAGAGCAATCAACAGAAATAGAGAGTGCTATTTAGAAAATGATTATGTGAACTATGATAGAGGTGAAGATGGGAGAAGATAAAACACAGAATGTCATTAATTTCATTACTTTTTATAAAGTTAGGAAAATTAAATGCCATGACTTTAATAGTATTCAAATGAAAGAATGACAGCTTGAATACATTTGAAGGCATTATATTTCAGAAACATTGTTTAGGGCCAGTTGTAGCCTAATAGCGTGTCTAGGTTTCTTTGGTGTAAAAAGCGTGTTTAAGGTAATTCCTCAAATCTTCTTCCCAACTTTTACCCATCACTAGCATTCTCTCCCTTAACAAGAATTCCTAGTTTTGCTTTGCATCTAGGTTTAATCTAGGACTGTTTTCTTATTTGAAATTTCTCATTCATTTAGAAATGAATGATTTCTAAATAATTGCCAATTTCTAAGGTAATTATAAGGCACAGTAATGGAAAATACGCCCTTCTTAATAAAAGCACTGTAAAAATTGGGATTTTTTTATTTTTTATTATTTTATTTTTTTATATTCTTAAAATTCCCTATTTTATTTGCAGTACTTTATTTATTTACTTCCCCGAGAAATGAGGGATAAAATATCTGTAACAGCATATATACGTGTGTGCATGTGTGTGTGTATTTTATATGTGTATGTGTATATGTGTGTGTATACATATGTGTGTATATATATATTTTTTATCCAATACATACATCCTGGTGTCATCTTGTGCCTGTGAGTAGCAAAACATAAGTGTTACAAATGTTTATTTCCTAGTACTAATCTCAGTTTAATTTTTGTGTTTCATTTCCCCTTCTTTATTTTGCTTTATCAATGATACTTATTTTTAGTTATCCGTGTGTGTGTATATATATACACACACACACACACACACATATGTATATCTTTTGATTTGTTTTGTTTTGCATGGGAGGATATTTGAGTCAAAACACATGTAACTCCCAATCTCTTTTCTAAGAAACTCACTTTACTTACAATATAGCATGAGGAAGTTCAAGCTTAAGGTAATTCTCAAGAACAGTGAAAGTTGTAATAAAAGGAAAATGGGAGGAAATATGTGAATTTAATGAAGATAAAGCATAGACTCTAGGTCAGCTAGTTTACAGGAGGAACCACCAGGAAATCATTCTCTTGAACTCGGAACAAATATCAAACATGGATTTCCAAAACTATCCCTTCAAAAGAATTACAGTTTGATACAGTAATACTGTAGAACAGTTTATGCCCTAGGGAACTGTGGAGAACACACATCAATCAGCCAGCAATTAGTGGAATTTAACAGCTGGATTTGGTCAGGGAAAGAAGAACCTGTGCCTCCTGGGGAAGAATAGAGGCTTACCAATGTCTGGGGTGAAAGAATTTAGTAAAATAAGCCAGGCACTCCTATAAAATAAACAAGCCAACAACAAGAGCACATTGCGGAAGGGACAGTGGAAGTGCCCAGAGTGTCAACAATATATTAAATGTTCAATTTTTTTGCTGTGAATTATGAGGCATGCAAAGAAACAAGAAAGTGTGAACCATATTCTTGGAATAAAATTTGTTAATTATGTCCAGAAGTAATTTTTAAAGTACTTTCTGTTTTGCTGGCACAAATTCACCATTCCTATGACAATTCTGATTCACTGTATTAGGTTTATATTGATTGATATTACATTAACCTTTGAAGCTAACTGCTAACAACTACCTTCACCAGGTCTAAACAAGAATAATAATTGACTTCAGGTATAAGTCTCATTTTCTGAAATTAATTGCTTTCATTTATGGTCTTCGGAACTTATAAAGTTACTTAATTCATGCTAACAATATCAAATTTATCTAGAAAAAAATTTAGGAAATCTTATCACAAGATTTTTTAAAAATTATGTACATGTATACCTTACAAAAGAAAATAATATGTATTATATGATGGCTTACATCTTTGAGAAACGACTTCTGAGGCAGAGATTTACATAAACATTAGGGAGTACACTCAAGAACAGCCTCTGTCTGTGAGTGAGTGAAATAGGATTGTGTAGAGGCTGGTGTTTAACTTTAATGCAGTTGCCTTATCTGACCTATATAATACACAGCATATGCTGTAATCAAAACAAAAAATTAAATATATATAATATTTAAATACTATAAAACAGAAAGCCAATAGTTAATAATAAGATGCTATGAATACATCTTTCTCTTTATTTACTCATTACTGATAATTAAAAGTATTTACCTTCTCAAAAATGAAAAAGAAAACAAAAAAAATCAACTTAGGGAAAGAAAATATGTGTATAGCGTTCAATTGATCATTCAACATATATATTTTGTCTACTGAATGTGAGTCAAATATTATACATGAGACTGAGAATAAGTCAGAATTATTCATGAATAACCTGGAGCCATCATAGAAGCAGACATAAAGCCAATATTAATACAAAAATAACTATTTTTAATGTTACCCATTATTCTGAAGGAAAGCTAGAGGGTATTATAAAAGTATGTGTTAGGTTATCAAAGCTCCTTGGTGTGGGGATTAGGGAGTGTTTCCATCAAGAAAGGCCCTGAAGTATGAGTTTGAGTTGATATCAGATATCAAAGGCTAATCAAAATCTCAAGACTAAAAGTAATATGGGGAAGGTAGTTCAAAGAAAATAGCTAAACTTATTTAGGTTATTGGATATATATACCTAAAGACTTTATTATATAGTAATAAAACCATATTATATAGTTTTGTTTTATTAGCCTACATATGTAGACACAGGCTGAACCAATAAGTTTACATTTAAATGAATTATAATCAAAGAATATATCAATTGCCAATATGTACTCAAAAGATGTTGAATGTCTAAAAGATTTATTATTCAGAAAAAACACAGTTAAAGTCCAACATGTTTGCTAATATGAGAAATAAAACAGAATTTCTAACATTATCACTCTTATGTAAGTTTATTATAAAAATTATAACCAATGAAATAATGAAGATTATAATTTAATGACAACAATAACTTTCCTAACAGAAGCAATAAAATTTCCTTCATAATCAGATTTTATATTTAACCACTTAAAACAAAAAGAAGAAACAACTCAACATTATTAAGCTTATAAAGTATTCAATAATGGTAAGTAAGTATGCAAAAATCCATTACTTTTTAAATACAATATATTGTTAGAAGAATGCCATACATACCCGCTATGAGGATTTGCTACAAATGAGAATTAATTTGAAATACATTTTTAGGGGTTATTTAGAATGTTGAAAACGTCTAAATAATCCCTTAAAGCAGTAAAGAAAAAGATAATATTACAGATTAGGAAGTCTAGAAATAGTCATTTATAAATTTTCTCTAAATAAATATGAGTGCCCTAGCCATATAGTTTTTTTTTTTTTCTGGCAATGCAGAGTAGTCTGATCTACACATTAGGACTGTTAACTAGTACTCCTATCATAAATAACTAGGATACTAGAAAAATTAGACAAAATGACAATTTCAAATAGTGACAACAGGTGATAAGAACTGAGAGAACAGGCACAAATGAGGTGAGGGGCATAATTGTACCACCTTTATAATTCATGAATTTCCTGAATACCAGCTTAGGAAGAGGGACCCAAGAAGGTAGTTGTACTCTCACTTAGTTGGAAAGACAGAGATCTACATTTAGAGATGCTTAGTTTCCTTGTGTATGGGGGGCGGAAATGCCGGATGGGAAGAGATGAAACAGATACATAGTTCTAGAAATCTGCATAGAGATCTCCTTGGGTCTTTTGTTGAATAGCAAGTTGTGTATGCTGAAACTGAGTGTGATGGTTACTGTTGAGTGTCATCTTGATTGGGTTGAAAGATGCAAAGTATTGTTCCTGGGTGTGTCTGTGAGGGTGTTGCCAAAGGAGGTTAACATTTGAGTTAGTGGACTGGGAGAGGCAGACCCACCCTTCATCTGGGTGGGCACAATCTAATCAGCTGCCAATTTTGCTAGAAAAAAGCAGACTTGCTGAGTCTTCCAGCCTTCAGATCTTTTTCCCTTGCTGGATGCCTTCTGCCTTCGAACATCAGACTCCAAGTTCTTCAGCTTTTGGACTTTTGGACTTACACCAGTGATTTGCCAGGGGCTCTCGGGCTTTCAGCCACAGACTGAAGTCTGCATTGTCGGCTTACCTACTTTTAAGGTTTTGGGACTCGAACTGGCTTCCTTGATCCTCAGTTTGCAGAGGCCTATTGTGGGACTTCACCCTGTGGTCCTGTGAATGATACTCCTTAAAAAACTCCCCTTTATTTATACATATATGCTATTAGTTCTGTCTCTCTGAAGAACCCTGAGTAATACACTGGGTCTCTGTTAAAAGGGCAATAAACAACTTCTATTAAAAGAAAATGTACTATAGAGCTATATGCTAAGCAATGAGCAGCACAGGACATGTTCAAGTCCCAAACAACCAGAGTGGACACATGTCATTAAAAACACAGGGCATTCTAGAGAGGAAGGCCAGAAAGGCCTCACATTACAAGTTGGAGTCCACTATCTCTAGAGAACGCTACTAACAAAACTTAAATGAAGTTTAAAAATAAACTACAACAGTACAGACGAATGTACACATAAATTAACTACATGCTTATAAAATGTCCACATTATTTGAAAGAAATAGTGCAAAAGTTGGACAAAGTTAATGTTTGCAATGCACTATATCCAGGAGAGATTTCTAGATGAGTGAAGAACCAGGAAAATGGGATCTATAACCAATAGGACATTTAGTCATTAGAAATAGACCCAGAAATGACATAAATGATGGAATTAGCAAGTAACAACTTTAAGATATCAATTTGATAGAGGGGATGACAGATGAATAATCAGACAGGCTGATGGATGGAAGTTCTGGGATTTAAAATAAAATATAAACAGAAGAAGAGAAATAGAAATTACACAGCAGAACCCAGTAAAAATTCCAAGACAGAAGAATAAAATGTCTGGAAAAAATTAACTGGATGGACTTAACAAAATATGTGACAGTGCAGAGAAAAGTTAAGTGAACTTAAAGAAAAATCATAGAAACCATCCAATTGAAGGACAGAGAGAAAAAAAATTGAAAATAAATTGAACATAGCGTCAGAGAACAAATGAGATAATATTAAGCATTGTAATCTATCTGTAGTTGCACTCCCAGAAATAAATGGAAAATTTGGATTTAGAAAAATATTTAAAGATACATTGCCACTTTTTGGAAAATTTAATGGAAATTATAAACACAGCAATCAATAAAGCAAAAGAAAAATCTGCAAATTCATTCACATACACACACACATCCCTCAAAGTGGCAAATTTCTGTAAACAAGTGATGCAGAAAAAATTAATAAAAGCTGCCAGAAGAAAAAAACTTCAGACCAGGCGCAGTGGCTCACGCCTGTAACCCCAGCTCTTTGGGATGCCAAGGCTGGTGGATCAGGAAGTCAGGAGACTGAGACCACCCTGGTCAACATGGTGAAACCTGTCTCTACTAAAAATACAAAAATTAGCTGGGTGTGGTGGCACGTGCCTGTAATCCAGCTGCTGGGGAGGCTGAGGCAGGAGAATTGCTTTAACCCAGGAGGCAGAGATGACAGTGAGCCAAGATCACAGCACTGCACTCCTGCCTGGCACAGAGCGAGACTCAGTCTCAAAAAAAAAAAAAAAAAAGAAAAAAGAAAAAAAAAAAACTTCAAATGCATTCAATGGAACTAAGATAAACACAATTACAGATGTCTCCTTCGAAATAATATAAGATATAACAAAGTGAAAGGATATTTGAAAATCTATAATTAAAAACCTCGAATCTAAAATTCTATACCCAACGAATATGACAAAGTAGTGTCACACATGTAGGAGCTTAAAGAAATTGTTAACAACAGACCTAAATAATAAGAAATTTTAAAGGAAACATTGAGAGTAAAGGAAAACTAGTCTCAATAGAAAGTCAGATTTGTAAAATGAAATTAAGAATATCAGAAACACTCAATGTGTACTAAAGATAAAAAACAGTTCTTTTCCCCTAAATTTTGTCTGCTTTAAAATATAACACAGTTTAAAGTTAAATAATAGCACAGACGTGTAAGTTTAGAATATATGTAGAATTTAATTGTATAACCATAATGACAAAGATGAGGTGTTACAAAATGGAATGTACTGTTTGTTTATGTTTTATTTAAGGTGGTATATTTTTAAAATAATTTCCAGGATTAAAATAATTAAAACCATTATTAAGCAATCATGACAAAAATTTTCTAATACTAGATATAAAAATTCAACATGAGGCTATTACAAGGCTTTTTTCCCAAACAAATATAAATATACGTATCAATGAAAGAGAATGTGACATAAAATATTCAGAAATACGTTAAAAGATGGAATCTTAAATTAGTGAAACAGTCACTAATTCACTGTACAATAAAATATATATGAGAGGATTTTTACAGAAATATGATATCGTAGGCAAACATCCAAGGAGCACAAACATAAAAGCTAGCATTGGTTTACTTGAATGTAGATTATTCCTCCTGCTTGAGTATGAACTGCTTTCATTACATAAATAAAAAGCACACAATGTCTCATTTTCTATCTTCTGTTAAAAGAAAACATTTTTCCTTCTCCATCCAGCATCAATAATAATAATCCATCAAAATCCTTTTGTTGCTTTACTCTGTATCGATATATTATAAAATATTGCTCAAGAATTATTAATCTTTGAACAACTTTAAAAGGCTTATGTATTTTGTTAAATTAAACTCTTTACTATCTAGATTAATTTATCCCTATCAATATATATTCTTGAAATTTTTTTTGCTTTCTCAAAGATCTAATGCTATTAAACTGCTAACTATTGGGGAAAGCTTTAGAAAAACATCTTAATTAAGTTAATGCAAAATTATATTAACTATAACATCTTAAATGTAATAAATATAAAATTAAATGCAAAATAAATTGAAGACAAAGTTTAAAACAGATGCTAAATATTGTAGTAATGTACATCATATATTTTGCATGTAAAGAGAAATAAAATTTAAATAATCCAAATAAAAATACTATTTTTAAAAATTATGTATTAGAAGCAAACAGAAAACAAAAGCCAAAAAAGTGCCAAAGGTGTACATATATTACTTTGGTCATGTATTCTGTGTATATGAAAATGCAAATATTATTTTATTTTATTAACAGTGTTTTATATTTTTATACTGTTCTTTAGTTCACCTTATTGAACATTAAAAGGATATAATAAAATTAAAATCATATTAAAAACTAGTGAAATGTTTGTAACATATCTTATTAAAAAATACACTCAATAGAAAAATGCCAAATGATAAACTTGGTTATATTTACATGAAAAATATATTCAACTTCACTAGAAATTAAATGAATGCAATATTAAACAGAAATTTGGTGCACTTTAATGGTTCAATAGAGATTATTTAGTTAAAATGCTGATGTTTAAGAATTCAGTCATAAGATTTATAATTCACACACAGATTTTACAGATTTTAATTGGCCCTCTGGTAACAGGTATCAAGAGCCTTATATGTGTTTATACCTCTTACGTGGGAGTAAGGGTGAAGAACTGAATTATAGTGATATTACATATCAGTTTGTTTAATGACACTGAAAAATGATGATGCTATGTATATGTAAAATGGTAAAGCAAAATTACATAAAATTCAAACTTTTTGCTTAAGCCACAAAATGCTATTATTCCTATTTTTTTTCAATTTACTCTCTACCCAGACTCAGCCAATTTTCATCAAAGAACTATGGATCTTCAGCTGACTGTGTTGCACCTTCACCCAATAATCTCATCCCACGTCTCAGGAAATAGTGGCGTTAAAGTTTCGTGAGGGTTGATTACCTAGACAGTTCACAAAACAATTTTCATCAGCTGAATAGATCTATGGAGGTTTTTTCTGGGCACAGAGTTTGTTGTGCATAATGCTCTTCTGCTGGAATATAAAGTAAAATGTTTCCTTGTTCATTGGCAAAGACAAAGTAACAAAATTCTGTCAGTATTTGGAATTGTGTTATATAATAATAGCATAGGCATGTTTAAACTAGACAACATATAATATTAAAAACAACAAGCAATATTTTTTGAATTCTTAATTTGTTTCAAACTTGGTGTTTAGCACTGTTTAAATTATTAGTACATCACATTTATTCCTTATAAACCTAAAGACATAAATAAAAACTAATTTGAAATGTACAGTGATAGTTTACAGATTATTTATGCTCTTTCTAAGTTTCCCTGTAAATGCTAAAAATTAACGAAAGGCCTTTCTGACAATACAGTACCATTTAAAAACTTAATTTCATAATGTTTGCACAATTAATAAGATGTTTATTATTAATGTGTTTACTTGTCACTATCTGGTATGTTTTGTGGGTCAATCCAGAGTAAATCTGATTAGAAAAATGTTCACTTAAACTAGCATACATTCCAAATGTGTGTTTTAGATGTTATTCTTAAAATAGTCTATAAATAGAATATATGTTGTCATAATTTATTGCATGCTATTAAACACATATTGTATTTAAATGAAAAAATGCATTTCAATGCCATATTACCTGCTGACTCCTTTTATGTAGTGTGCTATTTTATTGCATCACTTACATAAGATAATTGAAATGATCAGTGATGTAGGTGAGTGGTTAATAATGCTGGCTCTTGAGTCAGAAATTGTTAGTAGACTCCTGGATTCATCAACAATTAAATGTGAGGCACTGAAAAAGCTACTTTACCTTCCTTGCCTTAGTTTTCTCAATGATAAAATAGGATATTATTTTCTTAATCATAGAATGGTTTCCAATATGTAAGAGTACTTGCACGACACCTCCTAGGCATATAAAAATATATCAAGAAATAATCAAACATTGCATCTGAGAAAATATTTATTTTTCATTTTTTGACACTTAAGAACATGATTATATATGTATTACTTTAAGTAAACAAAAGCTATTTTCCCTAGTTTTAATGCTCTTTAATTTCCTTTTCTATTCCTAAAATGCTACCATATTTTATTTCTCCAGATAACCTCTCCTCTAAACAAAAGTCCTGAATAATCAAATTGAGCCAGTATAAGCATTTGGATTATGTATGTATAACAAAGCAGAAAAAATCTGAAATTGAAATTATTATATCATACATCACATGATATTGTGGAAAGACATTCTAGGTTTATATAATACAAATTTAGAGTCTCCATGAAGCATTCTTTAATTTACCTAAAATTATTACAGAAGTATTTCATCCAAAAAATGTTCTGGGGATAAAAATAAAAAGTCTGACATTGAGCTTATGCCTTAATATGTTATTCTTTTATTGAATTAGAAATCAAGAAGATAACATGTCATACTTCAATATAGTGGTAAAAATTAAACAATAGAATATTTAAAATACTCACTTTCCACTTTAATCCTTCTAAAACATTCTGTATGGTGGGTTTCTATTCAGTATACTTTGAGACATAACCCTACTTATCTTCACAAATTGTTTTACATGTATTGATTGTTGGAATGTTCATTCTTTAGAAGTTAGTTTTGTAATAACATGTTTCCAATATTAATTTATGTGGAAAGTGCAAATTACTAATTTGTTGGTGTTTATTACCAGGGGGAAGACAATTTTTCCATGGATGGAAGTGCGTGGGGGAAATGAATCTGTTCCACTTAAGATCATTGGGCATTAGATTCTTGTAAGGAGCATGCAACCTAGGTCCCTCACATGCACAGTTCACAATAGGTTTCACACTCCTATAGAATTTATTGCAGCTGCTGATCTGTCCGGCTCAGGTGGTAATATTCAATTGACAGTGGCTCGCCTCCTGCTGTGTGGCCCAGTTCTTAACAGGCCAGTGGCTTGGGGGTTGGGGACCCCTGATACAGGGTGCATTTGACTTCTGCTTAAGAGGGCAGAGAATAAGCAGAATAACTACTGATCAAGTTTACAGCTAGAATACTCATGCACATCATATGATTTTAATTAACCATATGCATAATTATCTGTTTTATCATATTTAACTTTTTCGTTTTCAGGTTTTACTTCCTCCTACTCTCTTGTTCTGTCTGAAACAGAGTAATTACATGATAAAAGATTCAAAATAATGAATGAATCATAGAAACTATAACAGGTAATGAATGTTGAGACAAGAAGTTACCAGGTTCGTCTTTGTTGTGGGGAAAGATGCAGTTCATTTATGCTGTAGTACATTTGTGTCTGAACTCAGAATCAGAGTTCCTAGAAGACTGTTCTACTTTACAACCTGCAAGAACTTTGTGTTTTCAGAATTTTAAGCCTTAGGGCAGACTTACTCTTTCTGGTAGTGGTTTGAGATCAATTGCCTGTTGCAATGTTCTTCATCTTAGGTTTGCCTTCCCTGAAGTTTTGTGGAAGGGTAGAAACCTGAGAGAGTGCTTGCTGGGATTTGAAGTGTTTACTTTTATACCTGGCATTTATTTTGAAGTTTGGGCATTCTCTGTCTTCAGTTTATGCCAAAGGCATGATTTCCATCCAGGTATTTTTTTTTTCTTACAGCTTTCATTGTTTTGTGAGATAAGATTGAAAAATTTGAACCTTGTAATCTGCCATTGTCTTTAGTTAACCAGTGTCCCCACATGTCACCCTGAAATGAAAACCTTGAAATTATAAGAAAAACAAGGATTTAACAAATGGAAATCCTGGATTTTCTTGAATATTACAACAAAACTAGATTTTAAAAAGTAGTCTGAGAAGCTGAGAATGTTCATGAGCTTACGTCTGCCTCATGTTATGCAGTGAATGAATATGAGAATGTTTATTATAGTCTTAGAAGAGTATTCTTAAAACTGCATAAATGTAAGATGTAGGACTTGAAATAATTTTGAAAGCCGCTCACAATTTTTTTTGTGTTAATGAAGTCAAACATGTTTTCTCATTCCCCAGAATTCCACCTGTCATAGCTAACATAAGTACAAGTTAATTAATAAAATCACGCTGTTTTTTTTTTTTGGAATAGAAGCACTATTCCTAATATTGACTTATGCATGATAATTTTATGATTTAAATTTCAAGTAAAATATTATAGTATATTTTTATGAAATAATCATTATGTTAACATAAAATATTTATACCTTTTGTATATACTTATTTTTTGACAAATAATAATTGTGTATATTTATGGAGTACAATGTAAAATTAGTTGGTGAGGTGAAGGATATTTTAATTAGCTTGATTGAATCTTTCTACAAATGTATACATAAAACAAAATGTCATACTGAAGCTCAATATAAAATATTTTTAATGTGCTTTGTGAATTAATACCTTCTTTTGGATGTTATCTCTCACTGATGGTGGTGGCAGCCTGTCTGGAGCAGCCACTACGGGGATGCCAGCAGCAGCAGGAGAGGCACAGCTGGGACTGCATGCTCTGCGGACCAAATGGGGGCCAGAAACAAGGTGGAGCCCCACCCCTAATGACCTGGTAGGGTGGGAGCCCCGCACTCCCAGTCACAGCTGCAGCCACCCAGCAGCAGCTCTGGACCAGGGCATCCTGGCACTCTTGGGGGCCCAGGAAGCTCCCTGCCCCCACAGGCTTAGAAGTGCCTGCTCCCTCTCCCTGGCCTCTCCCCACTCCTTGTGCCCACTCCAGTGTGGAGCAAAGTTGTGGCCAAGTCCCGGTGCTCTCGTGTGCTGGCCAGATGTGCACACACTCAGGGTGGTGCTGACATGCCAGTCTGCTGCCATCTCAGCCCCCTCCAGAATTTGAGCATCAACAAACACAGGAGGGAGGCCAGGGGGCTGAAGGCAGCTCAGCAAAGATGCCCCTTGGCATGAACAGCCTGGGTTCCATGGACGGCTTCTGGCTAGATGCAGACAGGTTCCTAGGCAGGAAGGGGGAGGTCCCCAGTGAAAGCCCACATTCAGGCCAGGGACAGCCTGAAGCCTGAGGGCCGGGCTGCCTGTTACAGGTGAAGTATGTGGCCTGCAGTGAGATCTTCATTGATAATCATTTGGCTGATCTGATGGTGCTTTCTCCAGGGCTGCCTGTGACCACCCAAGGACTAACAGCATGCACTTTCTCCATTCTGAGAATGTAAAAACCCCAGACTCAGCCAGACTCCCCAACACTCCTTGGGATGACCTGCCTGTGGAAAGGAGCTACCCACTAGGGGTCTCCTCTGCTCTAAGAGCTGAACACTCATTGATGTGACCTGCCTACAGGTTTAAAAATATTAAACTATGGTTTAAAAATATTAAGCTATAATTCCCTAACAGAGATTCACAGAGAAATCGATAATCTTCACTATTAAATTACACACTTCTATGTAATTCATGAATCAAAGAAAATGTTTTAATAAAAACTAAAAAAAATTTTAAACAAAATAGAAAGAAAATACAACGTATCAAAATACAATGGATTCAGCTAATACAGTGCATGCAGGAAAACTTATAGCATTAAATGCTTATATTAGAAAAACAGAGAGGTTTCAAATCAACAATGGAAACTTCCACTTTTGAAAATTAGAAAAAGCATGGAAAAATCAAGTTAAAGCAAGCAGAAAGCAGGAAACAATAAATATATAAATAAAAATCAAAAAAATAAAAATTAAGAACATATAGAAAAACACTGTCTATTTTCACAGACGATAGGATTCTCCATACAGAAATGCAAGGAATCTATAAAAACAAACAAATAAACAAAAAACACTTAAAAATAGAAAATGATTTTTGCAAGGTCCTAGGATACAAAGTCAATCACATTTTTATGTAGTGGAAAAGAGTAAGTGGAGAGTAAAAATAAAAGTTTATAATAACTCAGAAATTATTGGGTATAAGTCTGATAAAATATGTGCAGTTGTGTGTAAAACTACAAAACTCGAATGATAGAAAAAAATGTCTTACATAAATGGGGAGATATAAAATGACCAGAATTAGCAGACTGAACATAAAGATGCGAATTCTATCCAAATTGACCTATGAGTTTACTGATTTCAATAAAACTTTAACAAATTTGTAAAATTTATGTTAGACTGATTCTAAGTTTCTAACTTTTATATATGTGTAAAGCATATAAGGAGAGAAAAAAAAACTAGACTACATAAAGCAATTTTGATTAAAAAGGCTTAAAGTGGGAAGATTTACTTTAATGTTAAGACTTGACTTAAAGTTACAGAAATTGAAACAATGCAGTATTAGTGAATTGGGTAGAAACATAGATCAACAGAGTAGCATGTGAAACCCAAAGATAGATTAATGCAGTCATGGCCAAATGATGATCAAAACAGTTCTCAAACAATTTAATGAAGAAAGAATAGTCTTTTCAAGAGGTTTTCTGGAACAATTATACACCCATGTATCCAAAACTAACAAAACAAAAAAAATTAAATACCTCAAATTCAAACTTTATATAAAAGAAGCAAATCCTGATTACAACATATATAAATGCAAAGCCTAACATATGAAACGTGCAGGAGAAAATCTTAGCGACCTAGGTTTAGACAAAGAATTCTTAGAAGAAGTGTGATTTGTAAAATAAAAAAATCAAATTATTAAAATTTTTGTTTCCACAAAAGATGGTTAAGAGAATGTAAAAGATAACTAACAATTGAATATATTAATAACTACAACTTATAAAGAATGTAAATACACATTCATACATACACAGATATATGTAAAGAACCCTAAGCAGTAAGAAAAGAACTGATCTTATTAAAAATGGGAAAACTATTTGAACTAGCATTCCATTGAGGAGGCAACAAAGATGACAAATATGCATGTGGAAAGATGTTTGAACTGATTATCCTTTAGGGAAATGTAAATTAAAACCATAGTGAAGTATTATGATATATATTTTAGTGTTTAAAATAAAAATGCTGACAATATCAACTACAAACAAGTTTGTGGAGCTGCTGGAACCTGCGTGTATTCCTGGTAAAAATGCAATATAATATAACCACTCTGGAAAACAGTTTGGAATAAAACTGATGACACACTCACTCACCATATGACCAAGCGGTCTTACTCATATGTTTCTGGGAAAAAAATATTCTGTTCAGACAAAAACCTGTGAATGTTTGTGGCAGTTCTATTCAGACAATGTGCCATAATTCAGCAATCAAAACAAGCCAACTTTTGATACATCCAACCACTTGGATGTATTTTTAAAGCATTATATTGAGGGAAGCGCTGGGTTTCAGTTACATGAGGTATGATTCCATTTACAGTAAGATCTGTAACAGGTAAAATTACAGTGTCAGAGAACAGACCAGTGGTTGACATGAGTCATGAGTCAAGTGTGTGAGTGGGTTTGTATGTTGTGAGTGTGTGATTATAAAAAGATAAAACGAAGGAGTTTTGTTGTTGTTGTTGTTGTTGTTGTTGTTGTTGTTTTTGACGGACTCTCACTCTGTCGCCCAGGCTGGAGTGCAGTGGTGCCATCTCGGTTCAAGGCAAGCTCTGCCTCCCAGGTTCATGCCATTCCCCTGCCTTAGCCTCCGGAGTAGCTGGGACTACAGACGCCCGCCACCACAACCGGCTAATTTTTTGTATTTTTAGTAGAGACGGGGTTTCACCATGTTAGCCAGGATGGTCTCCAAAAGTGCTGGGATTACAGGCGTAAAACGAGGGAGATTTTTTAGATTTTTTATTCAATTGATGAATTGAATACTACTATTAATACTACTACTGTAAATGATTGGCATGACAAAAAGGAGCATGCACCCCAGGTGCAAAGAAGAAAACATGAAACCAAAAAAGTAATTTCTAATACATAAAAAAAAATCTATGTTTTCATTTGCCTCACTTCAGTCACCGTATTTATTTTGCTGTCATTTTTACTAGGAAAAAATCTTGTCTCAGTATTCTTTGACTTGACAGATGATTTTAACTAAGACTTAGTTGAGATTCATTAGTATTTCCAACATGTGTGTTCTACAAAGCAATGTGTTAATTCAATGTCAATAGACATATCTTTAGTACATCTTCAAATACATTTTTCAAAGAATTAGCTATCAATAAAACAAAGAAATGGTATGCAATATTACTTTAGTGATTTTCAAGTTTGCTTTTTTGGTTTATTTTATGTTCATGTAGTGATTATTAATCCACCTAATTTTATTGAGAAAATTTAAAATAATCGGTATTTTAAATTATTATTATTATTAATAGTAGTATTCAATTCATCATCATGGTATGTATTTTAACAAAGATAAAAGTGCATAGAGTGGAGAGTGTGTGTCCCTTTCCCACATGTCTTAAGTCTATCCAACCCACAAGTTTACCACTTCTGCAGTTTTAATTATTTATGAATCCTAGGTATTGGGTCATGTATATGTCATACATTACATAAATGTTTCCTCAGTCAAAATAAGATTATAATTTCTGCCTTTTGTTTTTAGTGATTTTATTATTTTACATATATTTTAATTCATCCCAAATTTAGTCTGGCATATAATTCAAATGGTAGTTCTAATTTTTAAAAAATCTCTATATTGAAATATATCATTAATGCAAAAATAAGACAAAATTTTTGAGTGCAGTTTTCTTAATTTTTTACATAGTTTTTTCACGCATGTCAAAATATGACATGTCAAGAAAGGGAATATCACTGATAGCCCTGAACCTCTCTTTGCAACTTACTCCTTGACCTTCCTCCTCCTCAAACATAACCATTGTCCTGACTTATATCATTGTAAACTAACTTTGGTTTATTTTGAACTTTATATAAATTAATATATGTCATATACATTAATTTATTTCTATTTCATTCAGAATTAGATTTGTAAAAAATCTTTAGTATATACTATTTCTTTACATTTCTACACTAAATTATATTTAGCCATTTTACTGCTGGTGGGCATTTGAGTTATTTTCAACTTGTTTATAACTATAAATAATGAATGAATTTTTTGTTTGACATTTTTATTTACTTTTGTATTTTTGGCCATTGTGATGTGTTTGCATTTCTCCTTGGTATATTCCTCAGAGTAGAACTGCTTTGGTGTAAGTTATGGTATATATTAATTTAACCTTTAGTACATGCTACGAAATACTCTCTCAAAGTGTTTATATCTCTACGTATATCACTTTATGTCCCTAAAGGCAGTATATAATAATTCATGTTGATCTATATTCTCAACACTTGATATTGTCAGTTTTTAAGTTTAGCTATTTGGATGTATGGATTGGGCAACATTTGACAAATACTTTAAGGACTGATTAGATTAATTAACTTTTATATGTTTGTTGGTCACTTGGCTATTCTCCATTAATGAAGACCTGTTCAAGTATTTGCCCTTTTTTTTTTAATAGATTTTTCTCCTTTTTTATCTTCTTGATTTGTGGGATGTTTTACATAGTTTAAATGTGAGTTTTTTGTTTTTTTTTTTTTTTTTTTTTTTTTGGTTAAAGGTATACAAATATCTCCCAGCCTGTGACATGCTTCATCATTTTTTAAAGAAATATTTGTGAGAATTTATGGTCACGAATTTAATATCAACACTGTCCTATAAGGTCAGTAGTAGTAGTTTCCAATTAAGAGAGAGTTGTTCTCATTAAATGTATATCATGGCATGTTTATATCTCCTGTCTCCTAGAAATGTATTGTTTTTCCTTTAACATTTAAAACTATATTCCACATGGAATATTTTTGTATGATTTAATGGGGTCCAATTTTTTGCTTTTCTTTTCTCACTTCTTTTTCCTCACATTCTATCATTTCTCACACTCTCTTCTTCTTCTTTATCTCTCACCCTAACCCTCTCTCTTACCTATGTGCATTTAATTGACTTGGCAGCATTTATTTTATTTTAATTTTTAATTTTTACAGGTACATAGTAGGTGTATATATTTATCGATTGCATGAGATATTTTGATACAGAAATATGTGAAATAATCACATTGGAGTAAATGGTATATCCATCACCTCAAGCATTCATAATTTCTTTGAGTTATAAACATTCTTTTAATTCCAAAGTTATTCCAAAATGTGCGACAAATTATTGATGATGATAGTCACCCTGTTGTGATATCAAATATTAGATCTTATTCTTTAATTTAAAATAGTTGTCTTTCCTTCACAGCCCTAGAGTATCAACTTTGATGTTCATTAAAAGTTTAATACAGTTAAATCTTTACCTGGACTCTTTATTCTCTAATTAATTTGCTACATTTATTGATTTGGTTATTTTTATGCCAATATGTGTTTTTAATTTCTGGTGCATTCTGATAAGTATTGATATTTGGTAATGTGATTTCTTAATTAAATTTGCATTCTACCAATGCAATCAATGTAGTCTTTTATTTTCATTTAATTTTTTTGAAATTTTTTTCAATAATATGATATTTAGCAGATTTGTACTTCTTTATTTAGCTTCATTCCCATGTATATAATATTTTTTGGAGCTAGTATGAATAACACCTGTTGAAAAATTTTGTTTTCTAAATATTTTTTGCTGATATAGAGAATTAAAATTAATTTATATATATTAAACTTATACAAGCAGAAGTTTTAATGGTAAATTTCACTCATTAATTGCTAACCTCACTTATTAAATGAATTTATTTTTGTATCTATTATTTTACATTTTCTAAGTGCATAATCTTATGAGCATAATGCTGTTTTATTTCTTTCTCTCTAATCTTAATACTTTAATTAGCTTTAAATGCCTTATTACATTGTTGAATAGAAATTCTTTGAAGGGGCATGATCACTTCAATTTCAGTTTCAGAGAAGTCAGTCAATATTTGAACATTAAGTAGGGTATTAGTCTTTTTAAAAAGCTATTATTTATTTCATTAAGACAATTTCTAGTTTACTAAGCGTTGATAGATCCAACTTTATCTTCCTTTTACTGATAAGAGCTGTTATTTTTATGACCTAATAAATCCTCTTTTATATTTGATCCTTGCCCATTTGGTTTTTAATTTCTTTACTTTAAAATTTTATAAATTTATAATAGTTTACATACTTATGAGATACGTATGATATTTTGATACAAGTATGCTTGCTTTTCCATTTTCTAGTCTTAATGTTTGTCTTTTCAAAATCATTATGTCACTGTGTTTGTTACTGTATCTCATAAATGCTAAAATAGGTAGCCACCCCTCTATGTTATTTTCAGAATGTTTCTGTGTTTTCCCATTTATTTAATTTTTTAAATAAATTTTAACTCTTGTTTGATTTCAAACAAATTATTGTTATTTGATATACTCATAAGTAATTTTTAAAGTATGATTAATATTTAATTTTTATTTCAGGGCTTTTTTTTCCAGTTTCATTATCAGTGTTGACTAATTTACAAAAATTATGGTAGATTTCTTTTTTTCATGCTCTCAAAATAATATTCTATACTTTAACTTTTTTCTCTAATTTTTAATTATAATTTATCTATTAAATGTTTTTTAAATAAGAGTTTTCTGTAGGTATATGAATTCTTTTAAAAACCAATTTATTATTAATAATAATTAGTTTTCTCATATTTTCTATGTTTTGTAAAAAAACTTTGGTAGTTTTTTTTTCATAGAATACTAACTTCATCCAATTCCACAGAATTAAAAAAAAAATTGTTACATTCTGCTTTGAACTTTATTTATAATTTCATCAGCTTATGTGTTGCCTTTGGTTATTACATTTTTCTATTTTATAAAATAACAGAAGTTTTTATATTTAAATTTTATATTTCATTTTTGACTATGTTAGCTAATGGTCTAATTGTGTAGTTTTAAAAATGTGTTTATTAAAGAACCAGCAAATACATGTATTTATAACGTATTTCTTAGTTCTATGGATTAACTTGCTTTCTATTTCATCAATTTTTAATTTAATATTTACTAACTTTTCATCTTTCTTTTTTTCAGGCTTCCTTTGATATATTTTATATATACTTTCTTTCTGAAACTCTTACAATGTATGCTTAATCATTTACTTAATTACCCCACATCTTAAAATACATCTTCAAGAGTACAAATTTTTTGCTGATTAATGTTTCCTAGTTATCTCATTAGTTTTGATGATGTTTTTCAATTCACTCTGTTCTTTTTCAAAACTAATAATTTAATATCAGTTGGTACTTTTCTCTTTGACCCAAGAGTTAAGGTTTTGCTTTTCTCTTTTCCTAATTGATAGAGTATATTTGTTTATTGATTTTGTTTTCTTGTTTTTTGCATTTATTTTAAATGGTTAGTACTCTTTCTATAATTCAGAAATTTTTAATTAGTTTCTTAGGGCCTTTCATAACTCTGCTATCAGATTATCTTTATATGCCACTTGGTTGAATGGACAATGATAATTTCACCTTGTATGGAAGTCAAGCACGCTCAAGACTGTGAATAATGCACTTTCAGCAATCCTGCACTTGGGTAGACTGTTATGTGATGATTTTCACCATGGTCATACTAGTGAATATAAATCAAACTGAATTTACTGAATGTTGAGATACTTAGGAGATTCAGCTTTAGACTTGGATATTAAGCATAAGGGAAATAAAAGCATCTCAATTTTGGGATTTGGAATTATATAATAGATGATGATGCCTTCTATTGCTATGAGGCTGGATATGACCCCCGTTCTTATAATAGGGGAAGCTTTGAGAAAATTAAACAAGAATTTTAGTTTTTAACATGCTAACTTGAAAAAGCTTTTCAAAATATAGGAAAGAAACTTGATTTGGAGGTGTAACTTAGAAGAGTTCAATGTCTGAATGGCATTTAAAGGCGTGGACTAGAATAGATTACCAGATTATCATTATAGGTAGATGAGAGAAGTTAGCCTTGTACACAACCCTATTCTCTCAAAATAAAGTCTCCAGTTGGAGCAATGGCTTTCAAAGAACATGTGTATGAATGGCTGGTGGGCTGAATGAGAAATGATTAGAATATAATGTAAAGAAAGTCAATAAAATGAAATATCTAGAGAAGGCAAGCCTTTACATGTTTGTTCAGAGGGTGAATAAGATGAAACTAGGTAAATGGTTTCTCAACACAGCAATTAGTGGCTTTAGTAAGTCATTTTTGAGACACTTCACCTGATTTAAGTGGGATGAAAAAGATATGATGTACACAAGTATAAACAGAAAACAATTGTAAGAAACTCAGGAGAAAATATACTAATCAGCTGCTACAGTGAAGTATATGCCAAAGGAGGATATTTAATAGGTAGATGAGTTAATATATTATCAGAGAAATTGAGTATGTTTGTATGCTGATGTGAATTACCTATATATACACTAAAATACAATTCATCTTGTAAAAGACAAAGGAGATGGCTATTAGAAAAAGCTTCTTTGAAGAGACAGGATATGAAATTTACAGTAGGGCAGGGGTTGACTTTGAGAGGAGCCAATTCAGCTCATGTAGTACAATCAGAAGAAGAAAAGAGTAGCAGCATGTCCCTGCAAATGTTTGTTCAATTGGAGGCATAAATATGTTGTTCTGCTTCTCTTTTCTCGATGAAGAATAAGCCAAAATAGTATGTTGAAAGGAAGGGAGAGGAATAGCACATGGACAGTTTCACTAACGAAGTGATAGTTGTGAAATTGACATTTCATGAAATGGCAAAGCAGAAATATAACTAAATGCGGTAATATAGGTGGCAATATTGGGTGTTCATTGAGATTTGTGGTAACAAATTTAAAGTAATACAAGTCAGCAGATTTGTGTTACTTTTTTTTCAACAATATTTTGTTGCTCAATTATCCCAGGGAACAATTGTTTTCAAGTAGGGCTGAATTTGTCCCAAGGAAGATAATCAAATGAGAGAGAGGCTAAACCATTAAGAGTGTTCCGAGGAGTGACTTTAATAGTTAGGATAACTAAACTTTTCTTCTTTCTTGAGTTCTGAGCAAGTGAATAGAACAACAGAATTAATAAACTGAAGATAAAACTGTTAGCTTTATTTCTGGGGAAAGTGGCATGGAGGATATGGTTTCCATAGGTGAGGCACAGCATGCTTTCTAATAATTCCTGCCTTACTGCTCAGTTTAGATTATAAAACAGTGCAACAGGATGAAACCTTAAGTATGCACAGTACACTCGCTTACTGAGATTATTACTTTGCACAAACCTAAAGTTTATGGCAAGTGTGTCAAGAAAGTAGGGAAGCATTAGAAAGAAATCTACCCTTCCATGCTCAGGAATTTTGATAGAAAATATAAAAACCCATCCAGAAATCAGTAAGTGGCTGCCACCTACTTCTCACGTAAAACACTCTATCTCTGTGGAGTGATAAATGGGATGATTCAAAAGACCAGGACTATTTAAGGGGAGGAAAATCATCTACATTAAAATAAGAAAAATAGAAAAAAAATGTTCCCCACGTTCCCAAATAATTATATAACGGAATTTAATCAAGTTGTGTTACAAGTCAGATTTAGTATCCAGAAATATTTTTTTTTTCTTTTGCAAGGTGCTGCAATCAAGAGAAAGAGACAGAGCCACACTGACAAGACCACGTTCTAGAGAGAAGGAAATATGAGAGGCTCAAGGGCAGGGCTGTGAGGACAAGCAGGGGAGATGAGATGAGGTAGCATGAATCTCTTCTTTTTTGTACTTTATGTAAAAATTTATTTGACCAAAATGTTTAAAAAGTGATACTATTACATATGATACTACCCAGGAGGTAGCATGAATCTTAACAGCAACAGGAGGTCACCTCTGCTCACAGGTAGCAATGTGACTCGAACCACAGACATGGAGAGAGCTGCCTCCATCCTCTAATGAAATGAAGAGAAAAATTCAGTCTGTTATTGTACTTCAAATTAGACAGGAATGGGAATTTTAGATGAATGCCATTCATTTTCAAGTGTTAGAAATCATATTATCATAAGGAGGAATCAGGATAAATCAAGTATATTTATCTTCACATAATTTCCTGATTGCTCCTCATTACATGGAGAAGATCTGGACTTCGTTAAATTCATTATTTCAAATTTCCTGGGAAATCAAGAGTTGTTGAGGTGAAAAAAGAATTGTATGCTAAATTTTAAAATTCATATTGAAATGATATAAATATTAATAAATAATTAGAATATCTAGAATGCTACTTTATTTTTAACTTTTATATTTTATTAACTAACATTGTTTTACATTATAAATTCTTTTCTATGTTAATGATTTAAGAATTAATAAATAATTTGTATTTGACATTTAATTAAATTTGATATCAAAAATCAATTTACCATACCTTGGAAGAGCCAAGAGTTACTGACAGAAACACATTCTCTGTCAGACTTTTCTCCATTAAAAATAATGAGGTATAATCAATATTTTTTACATCTGTGATTTGAAGTTGAAACTCGGAAAGAACATTTGGACATATATCCTGATTATACAAGGTTATAGATAAAGTCTCACAGAGAGAGTTTTCATTTCCTTTTATCCATGCCCTTGAGTTCAGTAAATTAAATAGACAAATATAGGAAACATTTTTCAACAAATGAGAATCTATTTAATATGACTGAGAAACAATGCAACTTAAAGAAATTTTTAAAACAAATGCTTAGACAATGTAATGTTCTTCTACAGATTTCATTCTGACAGAGTTGTGTTTCTATATTTTAAAAAATATGCAATGATATTAGCTATTGATATTTCAAAGCATTGTATCCTATACTATTGACTTGTAAATAATATGCCTAGTTGCAATGTATGGTGAATGAGTATTCATTGGAATTATTAATTCACAAAAAAGCTGTAACATTTTCATGTAGTTGAGGAAAACATACAGTTGGTCAAAGGATAAAAGCCAGGCATAGACAATAATTTAATACTCACATTATAAATTTACTTTTCAAATGGTAATAATAAATTTTAAAAATTGGAATGTAAAAGGTTTCTCTACACAATATAGTAGCTATAGAATTCTGAGATTACTTATATATATGAACAAGAAGGGATAAAAACTTTGTACTAGCTCTAATAATGGATAAATTATTGATTTGCAGGTTAAAAACAGCAAATATTTGAAATAAAATAATGCATTCAATTTTCAGAAACTTAATGCTAAAAAGAAATTGTTTTTATGATTCTTATATTTATTTAATTTTAACATTGTTTTAAAAAATCTTTCAATATCCCTAATAACAGATGCTTACAGTGAATGTGATAAGAAACTTTTTATAACAGATTAATTGGCTGATTTTACTTCTTCAAGTCTGTAAGATGATGGTAACTTTAAAAATCAATGGCATCTTAAGTTTATGAGGGAAACATATTTTACAATAAAATTAGAATAAAAAGTAAAATTTACCCCCATCGCCTAAGCCAACACTGAATCTTCCTAAAATATTGTTTTGAATATTTTTGAAAAGTCTTTTATATGCTTAATTTTCTAGTCTTTTTGTTCAATTTGTTGCTCCAAATAATTGATTTAGAATCAACTGAGAGTCATTTTGTTAATTTGACTCCTATTTAGGCATCTTACCAACACATACAAATTTAGTTAACTTCATTCTTCAAAACACAAATTGATAGACATGAGATTATCCTTTCCCCTTCCTCCCTTTCTCCTTTCTTTTCTGTCAGATGGCCTTTGTTGCCCTAACCGAAGGCTGCTGTGTGGGAAGCTTCCAAAGCACTCTGTGTGGAATCCATCTGTCTTTTTGTACTTGGAGGCTTTGTTTACATTTATACCTTGTTTGTACACCACTTTAATAACGTGGCTAATCATTTACACAAGTGCTCTGAGACTTTATTCTTTGATCTGGATAGGATTTCCCTTCAGCGTGGGATAAGTACGTACCCATAATGTCATTACAGATAGCAGTGGGCTGTCTGTGGCTTTGTGTTGAATATCTGGGATGTTTTAAAGAATGCCTCTTCCAAGCTTATTCCTTCAAATTGCCCTAAGCTCAGAGTGCTTCTTGGATAAATTCTATTATAATTTGAATAAATATATAACTTAGTGGCTATTTAAATGCTCCCCAGCATAGACAGTGAAGAAATCTACAGTAGTATGAATCCAAAACAAGACTAAATTCAACATGTTAAGAAAAACATTTACCATAAATAAATCTACTTTAACCTAAACAATACAACTAACAAAATATATCTTAAGTTTCTGAAATAAGCATTATGCTTCTGAAGTTTTTGTGAAAAAATAAACATAAGAGAATAGCTGGAAAATAATAGTTTTGAAAATAAATGGTAATACGAAGACCTAACTTTACTGGAAATTGAAATACCTTCTACTGACAGGATGCTTAAGCTAATGCTTCTAAAGCCATAAATACTTATAACAATAAGGCAGAGCTTAAAATACAGAATACCCATGGGAACCTAAACTACACTAAATGTTTCATTTCAAAATAACATGGGAGAATTGATGATTCAGAAAAGTGTTTTACAAGTCATCCTTTAGAAAAATAAATAAGACTAGATATCTATTCATTATTTCAATAACTTCTTCATGAATCAATGACATAAAATTAATGATACATTTAAAATATAAAAATATACAGGAACTCATATTAATAATATTGTAATGGAAGAAGATATTTTAATAATAATGAAATCCGAGGAGCTGCAATGGAAGGACTATGATATTGGACAGATAAAATTTATTAACATATCTGTAGGGCAAAAAAAAAGAAGAAAACCCCTAAACAAAGTAAATTAACCATATAAATATAAAACAATAAGTATGTTTTAAAAACACACTATAAAACAATAAATATATAGTGTATATATAATATACACTACCATGTATATGTATATATATGTATATATAATTTAGGTAAAAACTTGCTAATAGCACACATGGCTATTACAGTTACAAATTTCAGAATACTTAACAGTAAATTTACTTTAATATAATTTTTTATTTTGAATACACAGAGTAATATTTATAGAAATGTATACAAGTATTGTGTATCCACATATTCACATATAAATATGCATATATGCTCAAACACGGTGAGTGAGTTGGAAATACACCTCACTCCTTTTCTGAGGCAAGTGCAATTTGCATTGCATTCTCTGCCACTGTGGAGGTGGGATGGCTATGTGATTTGCTTTGGCCAATGAAGTTTGAGTAGTTGTGGGGATATCTTTGGAACAGATTTCTAGAAGAGCAGTTTTGGCATCAAAAATAATATGTGCTTTAAATTTCCAGGTATAGTTTCAAATTGTACTATAAAAAGGTTGTGTAGACTTACGCTCTGATCATCCTTGCTTCTTAGGAGTTCTTTAAAGCAGAAACATTTAAGATTTATTATTTAACTCGAGAAATTTTCTTTCTTTTGTAAAAGTGGTTGACCTTATTCCAGATAATAAATGTTTCGTCTTGGGTTCCAAGGAGCTGGCTGCATCCAAACTGCAATGAACCTATACCATAGGTAAGAAATAACTTTATATATATATATATACATTATATATATACATATATATACACATTATATACATATATATAATGTGTGTGTGTATATATATATATATATATATATAAACATATAGCAATGAGATACTGAGCATGTTTGCACTGCAGCATAACCTGATATGGTTTGACTGATACTCTGGCTAAATGATAAGTCCTATGTTAAACCATGCTTTCCTTTTTTTATTTATGAAGTTTTGGGAAAGTACCTAAATCTCCCTAACCCTCAGCTTTCTTATATTGAAAGTGTTAAATCCAAGTACTTATATCACACAGTTAATAAATCATAAAGAAAAGTTATGTTTTCCTATTAACTTTTAATAAGAGAAAATTAAAAGTTGAATGTATTTCTGATTCATCACAAAATTAAAAATACTTCCTCCATGTTTTCTCAACATTTTGGAAAACTTTCTTTTTTTTTTTTTTTTTTCTTTTCAGTAATGATTCACAGTTCCCATAGATGTGAATAGGAAATCTAACTAAGATTATCTATTATGTCTTGGGATTCTTGAATAATTTATTTTAACCTTTGTAGTAGAGGGTAATAATATTGCTTAATACTTTATTTGTGAATCTAAATATTAATAATATGAAGACAGTGCAAAAAGATTGTCATTCATATTGAGAAATATTTTCACAGGTATTTCTTAAGGTTTATCAATGGAACTGAAGAAACATCTAACTCCTACATAGGTTTAGACTACAAAACTGATGTTTTGGTTTAAAATGTAGAAACAACTAGAGGTGATTTAGAATTAGTCAATTGAAACTAGCCAAAATATTTTTATTTTTGTTATTGAAAAATTGTGTTTGCTTAAGTTAGATACATTCAAATCAAAGGCTGCTCCTCTGCTTCATTTTAATGTGGTACCCTTAACTGCATGTATTCAGTAGAGACTTGGCTCTGATGCAATCCAAGGTCTATGAAGGGATGTAGTGGATGGGACTAGGTGAAACAAAATCACTTCAAATTTTGAGCATTATCTAGTTGTGACAAATCTATGTAGCTTGCTTCATGAGATGATGCAGCAGGAATTATTTGGTCAAAGAAAGTATATTAATATCATATCTACATTTAACATCAGTCTACTGAAGAAGGACTGATGTGTTGCCTTAGAATAACAATCACTGTCTTGCTAGTAGAAGTCAATACAGCTCAGGCATTAAAACTATTCAAAATAGAGCATGGAATAGTGTGAAAAGTACTACATAATTCAATTATAAAATTTTTTAAAAATGAAACAGAATGTTGGGTCTGTAGATATTTAACCTGATATACATTTTGAGTTAGTAATATTATTATTCGTATCATTAGTAATATAGAGTAAATATATACTTAAAAATTTACTGCTTTCTAAGATATAGGCCTTCCTACACACATTTTGAAATTATTTCCCAATACAGTTACTTAAAGAATGCTGTTCATATACACTAAAGTTGAAATCTATGCTAATATATATTTTAGGACATAGAGGTTCATACAAAAATTTTTGGTTTTCTGGTCCATATTTTCCCAAAGCTTAACTTTAGGTTATATGCTCTTTAATGGTAAAATGATTTATAAGTATATACCTTAAAAATAGATGTCAAAGATGCTAACTGAATAAGTGTGTTTAAAAGTCCTAAAAACATATTTAATCCAGGTTAATCTTTACCAAAGCTAGATTAACTGTCTTATATATAAATTCATTCATGAATTTGACTTCATGTTTAATGAAAAATATTGCTTGAAACATTTGACAGACTTCCTGTAGAATGACTAAAAGAATAGACAATATGCGATATATCATATAGTTTATTCGTCAAGGAGCATTTTATTGCATTTCTTGACTAATAACAACATTCACGAGAAAGACTAGCCCCCAGCATCATACTACATCATTGGTGACAACTAAAGAATAAAACAAACTCATGAATATTTAATGTTTAATAACAACATACAAAATTAGAAACCATAATAACAAGAGAAGATTAGGTATTTGAATTATCTTGTTACTAATCATGTAGCATACATAATAATACTAAAAATGTATTAAAGCAAGATTTTGTAGGTGACAATAATTTAATAAAAAATTTAAAAATAAGACAATTCAATAAACAATGTATAGCAGCAGTATTATCTTCAAATGACAGAAAGTAATTATTATATTATTTACTTCTTGGAGCAGGATTAGTGCTATAAATGAATGCAAACATTAAAATTGGTCTCAGATGACCTAACTACTAATACAAAATACAAAGGCTAATTAAGTCCATTTCATTAAGCGTGAAATGAAGGTTAAACTCCTCTCTCAAAATGAAAAGTGTCACTATTTTAAAATCAAAATCCTACATTGTAGAGCCAACCTTTGACTAAAAAGTAATTACACTATATGTGAGCACTTGTAGGCACAGACTTTTTTATTTTTTAATTACAAAATTTTACTGAGCTTTATTGATAAACTTTTTTATTTGTATTTTTATTTTTTTTGAGACAGACTCTTGCTCAGTCACCTAGGCTAGAGTGCAGTGGCACAATCTTGGCTCACTGCAACCTCCACCTCCCAGGTTCAAGGGATTCTCTTGCCTCAGACTCCCAAGTAGCTGAGATTACAAGCGTGCACCACCACACCTGGCTATTTTTTTGTATTTTTAGTAGAGACAGTGTTTTCCCATGTTGGTCAAGTTGGTCTTGAACTCCTGACCTCAAATTATCCACCCGCCTCGGCCTCTCAAATTGCTGGGATAATAGGCATAAGCCACTGCACCTTGCTTATTGATAAATTTTTAACTAAAAGTTATATGTACTTGATAGAATAAAATCACTTTCACCAACAGTATAAGGAATTGAGCTTTTGCAAATGGCATAATTTTTTATGCAATTGAAATCTTGTTTATTAAGTGTAAATGCTTGCTAGATTAATCACGATATCAGGTTTTTAATAAAATGTCCTGAATATTTTCCTGTCTCTTAAAACACATCTTTTTTAAGTAACCTAATAACGAATCATAAACATCCTTTATTGTATTAGACAGTGATGTATGCAAATAATTATTATTAAAATTAGAAAAAATAGATCTTCCACTTTTGATTAGGATGTAGAAGTATAAAAAGCAAGCTTGTTCTCATGTATATATTTTTAACAGATAGAATAACACCATATATTTCTCACTATGTCATAAAAAAAGGGCCAACATCACAAATTCTTATAGAGCTGATTTACACGAAGAATAAGCCCCTCACAGGGAAGTAGAAAGCTGTTTATTCAATAACAAAGACAAGTGGATAATGTATCTGTTACACAGTATTTCATGTATTTACAATTTTCAACTAGGCGAATATTTCCTAGATAGGGCAAAACTATTAATTATAAAGGAAATTGAATGACAAATTTAATCAAAATAAAAGCAAACATTTATCTAAGACACTATTAAAAATGAAATGTCAAGATACAGACCAAAATAATATTTAGAATGTTTCAGACATATTTATCCAATAAAAGACTTGTGTCAGAATGCATAATTACTCCTAAAAATGAAACAAACAATTAAAAATGAGTAAGCATTTACGAAGACACTTTTCTCTCTCTTTCTCTCTCACACACACACACAATATACAATTTACTGATAAATACAAAAAAATTAATAACTTTATTTTTATTCAAGAAACTTTACATTAAATTATCACAAAATATCACTTGCCTGTAAATATGAAAAGATAAAAGTGTGCTAATCCAAAATGTTGATAAAAATTCGAACAATTGGAATGGTAACACATTTCTGGTCTTATTGTAAAATAGTAAAGCCACTGTTAAAAAATGCCTTTGATCATTTCAATAGCTGCAGAAAAAACAATCATTAAAATTCAGCATTTCTTCTTTACAAAAATTCTCAACAAACTGGAGCACAGAAGGAAGGTATTTCAAAATATATAAAGCCATATACTACAAACCCATAGTTAACATAACACTAAATGGGAAAAAGTTAAAATCATTTTCCCTAAGAACTGGACCAAGACAAGAATGCCCACTTTCACCATTCCTATTTAACATATTACTGGAAGTCCTAGCCAGAGGTGTCATGCAAGAGAAAAAAATAAAAGGCATCCAAATAGTAAAAGAGGAAGTCAAATTTCTCTTTTGCTGATGTAATCTTACACTTAGAAAACTCTAAAGACTTCTCTCAAAGAATTCTAGATTTGATAAATGAATTTAGTAAAGTTTCAGAATAAAACATCAAAGTAATTATATTAGTGGCACTTTTATGCACAAATAATGATCAAGCTGAGAACCAAATCAAGAATTCAATCCCACTTACAACAGCTACAAAATAAATAAAATTACTAGGAATACATTTAACCAAGGAGGTAAAAGATCTCAATAAAGAGAACTGCAAAACACTGATGAAGTAAACCATAGATGACACAAAGAAGTAGAAAGATTTCCCATTCTTATGGATTGGAAGAATCAATAATGCTAAAATAAGCATACTGCCTAAAGCAATCTACAGGTTCCATGAAATTCCTATCAAATTACCAGTGACATTTTTCACAGAATAAGAAAAAATAATCCTAAAATTCATATGGAACCAAAATAGAGCCAATAGCCAGAGCAATCTTAAGTCAAAAAAAAAAAAAAGAAAAAAAATCGAAATCAATCAAAACACACAAATTTAAAAAAAGAGGCATCACATTACTGGGCTTCAAATAATACTAAAAGATTGTAATATCCAAAATAGCATTGTACTGGTATAAAAATAAACCTGTAGATTAATGAAATAGAATAAAGAACCCAGAAATAAAGTCACATGCCTACAACCATCTCATCTTCAACAAAGTTGACAAAAAACTGCACTGAGGAAAGGACATTCTATTAAATAAGTGTTGCTGGGAAAATTGTATATCCATATGCAGAAGAATAAAGTTGGACCCATATCTCTCACGATATATGAAAATTAACTCAAAATATATTAAATACTTAAATGTAACACTTGAGACTATTTCAAGACTATCTGCTCTGGCTATTTGCACTAAGATATAATGAGAAAACCTAGGAAAATCTCTTCTGAACATTGGCCTAGGCAATAACTTATGACTAAGACCTCAAGAGCAAATGCAACGAAACCGAAAATAGACAAATGGGGCTTAATTAAACTAAAAAAAAACCTTCTGTACAACAAAATAAATAATCAACAGAATAAACAATAACTTAAAGAATACAAAAAATATGTACAAACTATGCAGCCAACAAAAAGCTAATATTCAGAATCTACAGGGACCTCAAACAACTCTATAAGAAAAATAGAAGTGGAGAGGGGCCAAGATGGCCAATTAGAAGCAGCTGTGGTCTGCTGCTCTCATGGAGAGCAATGAAAAGTGCCAATGAATTCTGCACCTTCAACTGAGGTATCCAGGTTCTCACACTGGGACTGACTAGGCAGATGCCTCAACCCATGGAGAGTGAGGAAAAGCAAGGTGGGGCAACAGCCCACACAGGAGTGGCATGAAGCCAGGGTAGCCCCCATCCCTAGCCAAGAGAGGTTGTCAATGACTGTGTGACCCTGCCTGGGAAACTATGCTTTTCCTATGAATCTTTCCAACCCATGGATCAGGAGATCCTCTCATGAGCAGACACCGCCAGGTCCTGGGTCCAAAGCACAGAGCTGTGGAGTCTTGTTAGAGTGGCTGCTCACTCACTTTCTAGGGCATGCAGGGAGACCCAGGAGTTTTACATACTCCAGACCTGGGAATTCTGGCAAGGCAAGAGATCCCATGCATTCCCCTAGGAAGTATGCTGAATCCAGGGAGCCAAGTGGCGTTGCTCCACAGGCCTCACTCCCCTGGTACCTCACAAGTTAAAACCCACTTGTTTGGAATTCCAGCCAGCCAGTGGCAGGAGGCAGGAGATGGCCTGAGACAAATTGAGTTCCCGGGGGGAAGGGTGGCCACCATACCTGACGTTCCAGTTGGCTGTCTAGCCTTCCAACACCAGGGACCGGGAGGAATTCCCCACAATGCAGCACAGATGTTGTGCTTGATCGTGGACAATCTACTTCTTTAAATGGGCCCCCAATATACCCCTCAACATTGGGCAGGGCCTCCCTGTGTGAATTTCAGCAACTCCAGCCAGGGTTTTATGGACAGAACTCTGGTATCTCCCTGGGATGGAGACCCTGGTGGATGGGGTAGCCACTGTCTCTTCAGTTCAGCGACATAGCCTTTCCAGGCTGCTGGCTCTGGAGAGGCAGAGCAGTCAGCACAGCACACCTGCTCTGCCAAAGCGCAGCCAGACTGCTTCTTTAAGTGGGTCTCTGATCCCATTCCTCCTGACTGGGTGAGACCTTCCAATAGGGGTCTCCAGACACCTCACACAGGAATGGGTGCCCACCTGAGACAGAGCTCCCAGAGGAAGGGGAAGGCTGCTGTCTTTGCTGTTTCATAGCCTTCACTGGTGACATCACAAGGTGCAGGAGGGACCAAGGTGACTAGGGTCTGGAGTGAATCCCCAGAAAAATGCATCAGCCCTATGGAAGAGGGGCCTTACTGTCAAATGAAATCAATCAGAAAATGACAACAAAAAAGACCCCACAAAAACCCCATTGAAAGGTCAGCAACTTCAAAGATCAAAGGCAGATAAACCCACAAAGATGAGAAAGAATCAATGCAAAAATGCTGAAAACTAAAAAAGCCAGAGTGCTGCTTCTCTTCCAAATGACTGCAGCATTTCTCCAGCAAAGGCACAGAACTGAGTTGAGGCTGAGATGGCTGAATTGTCAGAACAAGGCTTTGGAAAGTGGGTAATAACAAACTTCACTGAGCTAAAGGAGCATGTTCTAACACAATGCAAAGAAGCTAAGAATTATGATAAAACAATACAAGCTGACAACCACAATAGCCAGTTTAGAGAGGAACATAACTGCTCTGATGAAACTGAGAAATGCAACACTAGAAATCCACAATGCAATCACATGTATCAATAGCTGAATAGACCACAAAAATGAAAGAATATCAAAGCTTGAAGACTATCTTCCTGAAATAAGACAGGTAGACAAGAATAGAGGAAAACAAAATAAAAAGGAACAAACAAAACCTCCATGAAATATGGGATTATGTTAAAAGACAGAACCTGAAAGAGACAGAGAATTAAGCCAAGTTGAAAAACATACTTCAGGGTATCATCCAGGAGAACTACCCTAACCTAGCAAGACAGGACAACATTCAAATTCAGAAAATCCATAGAACCCCAGTAAGGTATTCCATGAGAAGATTAACCCCAAGACTCATAATCTTCAGATTCTCTAAAGTTGAAAATAAAATAAAAAAAATGTTAAGAGCAGCCAGAGAGAAAGGCCAGATCACCTACAAAGATAAACCTATTAGACTAACAGCCAACCTCTCAGTGGAAACCCTTCAAGCCAGAAGAGATTGGGGGCCAATATTCAACAATCTTAAAGAATTTCCAACCTAAATTTCATATCTGGCCAAACTAAACTTCAAAAGAGAGGGAGAAATAATATTTTTTTCAAACGAGCAAATATTGAGGGAATACATCACCACTATGCCTGCCTTGCAAGAGCTCCTGAAGGAAGCACTAAATATGGGAACGAAAAACTGTTACCAGCTGCTACAAAAGCACAATGAAGTACACAGACTAGTGACACTATGAAGCAACCACATAAACAACTCTGCAAAATAACCAGCTAGCATCATGATGATGGGATCAAATTCACACATAAAAATATTAACATTAAATGTAAATGGGCTAAATGCCTCCAAAAAAGACACATAATGGCAAGTGGATAAAGAGTCCCATGGTTATGCTCTCTACAACAGACCCATCTCACATGCAAAGACACACAGGCTCAAAATAAAGGGATGGAGGAATATTTACCAAGCCAATGGAAAACAGAAAAAAGCAGGGGTTGCTATCCTAGTTTCTGACAAAACAGACTTTAAACCAACAAAGATCAAACAAGACAAAGGAGGGCATTACATAATGGTAAAGGGTTCAATTTAACAAGAAGAGCTAACTATACTGAATATATATACACACAATACAAGAGCATTCAGCTTCATAAAGCAAGTTCTTAGAGACCTTCAAAGAGTCTACAATAATAGTGGGATATTTTAACACTCCACTGATGATATTAGACAGATCATTGAGACAGAAAATTAACAGATATTCAGGACCTGAACTTAGGTCTGGATCAAGTAGACCTGACAGGTATCCACAGAACTCTCCATCGAAAAACAGCAGAATTACATTCTTCTCATCACCACATGGTACAAAAGAATTTAAATCATAACAAACAGTCTCTCGGACCTCAGCACAATCAAATTAGAGCTCAAGATTAAAAAGCTAACTCAAAACCACAAGACTACATGGAAATTGAACAACCTGCCCCTCAATGACTCATGGGTAAATACTGAAATTAAGGCATAAATCAAGAAGTTCTTTGAAACTAATGAGAACAAAGAGACAACATACCAGAATCTCTAAGACACAGCTAAGGCAGTGTTAAGAGGAAAATTTATAGCACCAAATGCCCACATCAAAAAGCTAGAAAGATCTCAAATTGACAATCTAATATCACACCCAAAAGAACTACAGAACCAAGAGCAAACACACCCCAAAGCTAGCAGAAGACAAGAAATAGCCAAGATGAGAGCACAGATGAAGGAGATAGAAAAATGAAAAATCCTTCAAAACATCAATGAATGCAGGAGCTGGTTTTTTTTTCAAAAAAAAAAAAAAAAAATAGACCACTAGCTAGACTAATAAAGAAAAAAAGAGAAGGGAACCAAACTGACACAATCGGAAATGATAAGGGGAATATCACAAGTGACACCATAGGAATAAAAACAACCATCAGATAATACTGTGAATACCTCTATGCATATAAACTAGAAAATATAAAAGAAATTGATAAATTTCTGGACACATATACTCTCCCGAGACTCAAGCAGGAAGAAATTGATTCCCTGAGTAAACAAATAACAAGTTCTGAAATTGAGGCAGTAGTGAATGGCCTGCCAACCAAAGAAATCCCAGGATCAGATGGATTTATTGCAGAATTCTACCAGAGGTAGTACAAAGAACAGCTGGTACCATTTTACCCAAACTATTTCAAACAATTGAAAAGAAGGGACTCCTCCCTAAGACATCTTATGAGGCCAGCATCTTCCTGATACCAAAATCTGGCAGAGATATAACAAAAACAGAGAACTTCAGCTCAATATCCCTCATGAACATGCATGCAAAAATTCTTAATAAAATACTGGCAAACCAAATCCAGCAGCACATCAAAAAGCTTATCCACCATAATGAAGTCAGTTTCATCCCTGGGATGCAAGATTGATTCAACAAACACAAATCAATAAATGTAATTACTCACATAAAGAGAAATAAAGACAAAAACCACGATTATCTCAATAGATGCAAATAAGGCCTTTGATAAAATTTAACATCGCTTTATTTTAAAAACTTTCAATAAACTAGGTATTGAAGGAACATATCTCAAAAGAATAAGGGTCACATGTAACAAACCCACAACCAATGTCATATTGAATGGGCAAAATCGGGAAGTGTTCCCCTTGAAACACAGCACAAGATCAAGGATACCCTCTCTCACCACTCCTATTCAAAATAGTATTGGAAGTTCTGGTCAGAGAAATCAAGCAAGACAAAGAAATAAATGGTATTTGCATAGGAAGAGAGGGAGTCAAATTGTCTCTGCAGATGACATGATACTGTATCTAGAAAACCCCAGCGACTCAGCACAAAGCTTCTTAAGCTGATTAGCAACTTCAGCAAAGTCTCAGCATACAAAAACAATGTGCAAAAATCGCTACCATTCCTATAAACCAACAGCAGGCAAGCAGAGAGCCAAATTATTGATAAACTCTCATTTACAATTGCTACAAAGAGAATAAAATAAATAGGAATACAGCTAACAAGGGAAGGGAAGGAGCTCTTCAAGGGAAACTACAACCCGCTACTCAAATAAATCAGAGAGGACACAAAAGAATGGGAAAAAAAATTCTATGCTCATGGATAGGAAGAATCAATGTTGTGAAAATAGTAATTTGTAGATTCAATGCTTTTCCCCTTCAACTGCTATTGACATTCTTAACAGAATTAGAAGAAACTATTTTAAAGTTCCCACGGAACCAGAAAAAGCCCAAATAGCCAAGACAATCCTAAGCAAAAAGAATAAAGCTGGAGGCATCAGGCAACCCGACTTCTAACTACACTACCAGGCTACAGTAACCAAAACAGCATAGCACTGGTACAAAAACAGATGTATAGACCAGTGGAATAGAATAGAGAACTCAGAAATAAGACTGCACAGCTACAACCATATGATCTTCTACAAACTTGACAAAAACAAGCAAAGGGGAAATGATTCTGTATTTGATAAATAGTACCGGGAGAACTTGCTAGCCATCTGCAGAAAACTGAAACTGGACCCCTTCCTTACACCTTACACGAAAATTAACTCAAGAGGGATTAAAGGTTTAAATGTAAAGACCCTAAAATAAAATACACAAAAAAATAGAAGAAAATCTAGGTAATACCATTCAGGACATAGACACAGGCAAAGATTTCATGACAAAAACACCAAAAGCAATAGCAGCAAATGCAAAAATCGACAAATGGGATCTAATTAAACTAAAGACCTTCTGCACAGCAAAAGAAACTATCATGATCCAAGCAGACAAGAAATATGAAAAAAAGCTCAATATCACTGATCATTACAGAAAAGCAAATCAAAACCACAATGAGATACCATCTTATGCCAGTTAGAATGATGATTATTGAAAACCCAAGCAACAACAGATGCTGGTGAGGCTGTGGAGAAAAAGGAACACTTTTACACTGTTGGTGGGAATGTAAATAAGTTCAACCACTGTGGAAGACAGTATGGCAAATCCTCAAAGATCTAATGGCAGAAATATCATTAGAACCATCAATCCCATTACTGTGTATATACCCAAAGGAATATAAGTTATTCTATTATAAAGATACATGCACGTGTATGATCATTGCAGCACTATTCACAATAGCAAAGATATGGAATCAACCCAAACACCCATCAATGATAGACTAGATAAAGAAAATGTGGTACCTTGACACCATGGAATACTATGCAGTGAGAAAAAATGACATAATGTCCTTTGCAGGGACATGAATGGAGCTGAAAGATGTTATCTTCAGTAAACTAATGTAGAAACAGAAAACCAACTACCACATGTTCTCACTTATAAGTGGGAGCTGAACAATGAGAACACATGAACCTATGGTGGGGAACAACATACACTGGGGCCTGTCGGGGTGGGGGGAGAGAGAGAATCATGAAGAACAGCTAATGGACACTGGGCTTAATACCTGGGTAATGAGTTGATCTGTGCAGCAAACCACCATCGCACATATTTACCTATGTAACAAACTGCACATGTATGCCGGAAGTTGAAATACAAGTTAAAGGAAAAGAACAACAACAAAGAAAAATAGAAGCAAATAACCTCATTAAAAATTAGGCACAAGACATGAACAGAGATTTTTCAAAAGAAGACATACAAGGGCCAACAAACATATGAAAAAATGTTCAACATTACTAAGCACCAGAGAAATTCAAGTTAACACCCCAATGGGAAACTGTCTTACACCAATCAGAATGGCTATCATTAAAATGTCAAAAAACAACAGATGTTGGTAAGGATGTAGAGAAAAGGGAATGCTTATACACATTAGCTGGAATGTAAATTAGTACAATCTCTATAGAAAATATTACGGGACTGTGCGCGGTGGCTCACACCTGTAATCCCAGCACTTTGGGAGGCCGAGGCAGGTGGATTACCTGAGGTCAGAAATTCGAGACCAGCCTGGCCAACATGACAAAACTCCATCTCTACCCAAAATACAAAAATTAGGCGGGCATGGTGTCGGGTGCCTGTAATCCCAGCTACTTGGGAGGCTGAGGCAGGAGAATCGCTTGAACCCTGGGAGGTAGGGGTTGAGGGGGTAAGAGGGGAAGATTGCAGTGAGCCGAGATCGTGCCACTGCACTCCAGCCTGGCGACAGAGCGAAACTCCATCTCAAATAATAATAATAATAATAATATAGTAAAATAAAGAAAATACTATGAAGATTTCTCAAAGAACTAAAAATTGAACTACTCTTTGATCCAGCAGTCACCCTACTGGGTATCTATGAAAAGGGAAAGAAATACATATTAAAAAGACACCTTTGGGAGGCCGAGGCTGGCGGATCACGAGGTCAGGAGATCAAGACCATCCTGGCTAATACGGTGAAACCCCGTCTCTATTAAAAATACAAAAAATTAGCCAGATGTGGTGGCGGGTGCCTGTGGTCCCAGCTACTTGGGAGGCTGAGGCAGGAGAATGGCGTGAACCCGGGAGGCGGAGCTTGCAGTGAGCCCTGATCGCACCACTGCACTCCAGCCTGGGCGACAGAGTGAGACTCCGTCTCAAAAAAAAAAAAAAAAAAAAAAAAGACACCTGCACTTGCATGTTTACTGCAGCATTTTCAGAATAGCAAAATTATGGAATCAATGTAAATATCCATTAATAGATGACTGAATAAAGAATGAAGAATATGTGGTGTATATATCCCATGGAACTACTCAGACAAAAAAGAATGAAATCATGTCTTTTGCAGCAACATGGATGGAACTGAAGACAATTATCTTAAGTGAAACTTAGAAACTTAGAAAATCAAGTACCATATATTCTGTCTTATAAGAGAGCTAAACAATGTGTACACATAGACATAGAGAGTTGAATAATAGACATTGGGACTCGGATGGGTGGGAGAGGGGTGAGAGATGAAAAATTACCCATTGGGTACAATATACACTATATGGGTGATGGTGGCACTAAAAGCCTGGACTTCACTGCTACACAATGTATTCATGTAAGAAACATGCACTTCTGCCCTGTAAATCTACAAAAAGCTTTAAAAACAAATTGCCAGCAACCAATTTTATGCAAACAATATATCCTTATCAATAATAATTAATAAACTAACAAATGAGTGAAACTGTGCTCTAGAGAATAAAACAGACTTTAGAATTTTTTTAATTAGACTTATTTTTGGAACCCCACACTCATTCTCAATTCTGATGAAGAAAATTAGATTTTTTACACTTGTGACACAAAACACTGAACACTTTAAAAATAATATTCATGCTAAAATTATTTTTCTTTGTACTTTATTATGTCTGAACTAGTTTTTTTAAGAACAAATGTAATATCTATACTTTAAATGCAAGAAAATACATATCTATCAATGATCCAGCAATTCCACTTCACAGATATTTTGCTGGCATAGGCAAACATTTGACCACAAGGTAATCATACAAGAACATTCATAATAGATATTCATAATAGCCCAAATCTGGATGCAAATGTTCACCAACAGGAAAATGATAATCACAGTGTGGTCTATTTCTTCAATGAAATATTTCTCAGGAATACAACTACAGTAGGTATACAGAAAATGCCATGAATACATCTCAGAACCACTATGTTGTATAAAAGATGACAAGCAGGAAAGATAGTATTGTGGTTTCACACTTACATGAATTTTTAAAAGGAGCTAAACTAAACCATGATCATATAAATCAGACAGGTTATTGTGGAGAGTTAAAGGTGGTTGTATAGTAAACAAATAAACTAACAAATGTCACTGAGAGAATTTTCTAAATGAGAGAAATGTATTTATCTTGGTGTGGTGGTAATATGAACATATACATTTGTCAAACTCATCAAAGTATATTTAAAACAGACTTATTTTTTTCTATGGAAATTACACCAGAATAATAATTGTAGAAATTATGTTGCAGGATGTTGGGAACAGAAAATAATGTTATATCAATCATTTCACATAGCTATTTAAAATTTACTCCTGGGAGAAATACGTTTATTAATACTTGAGTCAAAATAATGAGATTTTGAAGCTACATTTTTGTCTCATATTTATTTTTGTTATGATGACTGAGTGGTGGGTAGGCTCAAGGGAATGCAGAGGTATGAAGGAGAAGAGATTGATTAGTGTTTCCTCCAGGGACCTGAGATGTTTGGCATGGAGATTTTCCGGGGATATTTAATGCTACAGAGCAATGCTGTTAGGTGGAAGGGGAAAGTGAGTCTGAGACTATGAGGCTACTTCTTACTATTTGACAAGCTTTTATTATCAGATAAACATGAAGAATTATGATGGATCATGTAATCTCATTTAATCATGTATAGGCAACTAACCAACTAACCCATTCCCCAACGCTTACTTAGGTATAATTTGTATAGTCAGGTGTCCATAACAACATTTTATCAACAACAGATTGCATATACCAGGACAGTCGTGTAAGTGTATAATGGAGATGAAAAATTCATATCACCTAATGACATCATGGCCATTTTAAAGGTACAGTGCAGCACATTACTCCTATGTTTGTGGTGATCCTGGTATGACCAAACCTGCTATGCTGCCAGTTGTATAAAAGCATAGGACATGTAATTATGCACAGTACATAATACTTAATAATGATTATAAATGACTGTGTTACTGGTTTTATGTATTTCCTATGCTACACTTTTATTTTTATTTTAGAGTGTACTCCTTCTACTTAAAAAAATGTAAAACAGCCTCAGGCAAGTCCTTCAGGAGGTATTTTAGAAAAGGCATTGTTATCATAGGCAATGACAGCTCCATGTGTGTTATTGCCCCTGAAGACCTGCCAGTGGGAAAATATGTACAGGTGGAAGACAGTGATATTGATGACCCTTACCCTGCATAGAGCTGGGCTAAAATGTGTTTGTGTCTCACTTTTAAACCAGGAATTATAGAATGTGAAAATAAACACAAAAATAGATAAAGTTTGTAGAAGGATATAAAGAAAAATATTAATATTTGTACAGTTGTACAAGGTTTGTCTTTAAGCTGTGTTATCACAAAAAAGTCAAAAAGTTAAAAAATTTGTTTATAAGAAGGAAAGTTACAATAAGTTAAATTTAAGTTGCAACCAAAGAAAGACTTTTTAAAATAAATTTACTATAACTTAAGTGTACAGTGTTTATAAAATCTGCAGCTGTGTGCAGTAATGTCCTAGGCCTTCACATGCACTCACTATTCATTCACTGACTCATCCAGGGCAACTTCTAGTCCTGTAAGCTCCATTCATGGTAAGTGCCCTACACAGGTATACAATTTTTTGTCTGTATTTTTACTTGACCTCTTCTATGTTTAGTTATGTTGAAATACACAAATACTTACCATTGTGTTGGAATTGTTAACAGTATTCAGAATAATGGCATACAATACAGGTTTGTAGCCTACAAGCAGTAAGGTAAGTCACATAGCCTGAGTGTGTAATAGGCTATAGCATTTAGGTTTGGTAGGTGCACTCCATGATGTTTGCCCAATGACAAAATTGCCTAATGATGCATTTCTTCTCAGAACATATTCCCATTGTTAAATGATGCATGACTGTACTTAATCCTTCCACAGCCTGTTTTCATAGCTCAGCTGCCTTATGTAAGTATAATGCTATATTTTGAATTGCTGTGGGGGCCAGAAATGTTTATATCTCCTAAGTAGAGTGTTAATAGACAGCCTCAAAGTTTGTGAAAACAGAATAATAAATTTTAAAAAGAATAGACTGGATTTCAAAAATTATAAACATTGCTTATTGATTTTATTGGAAGGATGTGGTTTGATACATGGTTTCCAGGTGCTGAAAATTTATTGATTAGTAAATAGATATTTGGCAGTACCCACTATGTGCTAGAACAGTCTCTGTGTAAGATGAGTGATGTTTAGCAGAGGACTTCACTTTTCTGCTGATCTCACTCAGTCCAAGAGTTGATAGCAGCAGCGATGTCCACCTTTATAAGCACATCTTCATATTTTCCAGTTTCCAAATCCGAGGGGTCTGAGGAGTTCATGATGACCTTTCAGCTCTGTCTATTGCTGCCAGTTTCAAGACTCTTTTCAACAGTCTTCCTAAAAGATTTCCTCTTTTATTAGTATAAAGTTAAACTGGGGAAAGATTTAAGAGAATTTAAGACAAGATGGACTTACGTAAGTTGAATATTGTTCAACTTACAACTTCAAGCACCTGAGACACTTTCTCAGCTCACAGGAGCCCACTCATTTCAACCCAAGTGCTTGTACCAGGCAAGTATCAGACAGCCAACCAATTCCTTGCAGGAGTTTTTAACCAGTGTCTGATGGAATTTGTCCCTTGCTTGTGATAAATTTGAGGCATTAACAACACGGCCTCTTAAAGCTACCAAGAAATACTACTATGTTACTCACCTTGAAACCTGCTCAGAAGGAAACACCCTTCTCTTTCCCTGATTCAATTATTTACTCCTTATCAGTAGGCTTGAACGGCTGGAGGTAGGTAGGGTGGTTTGACTGGGGTCATATGTCTGGGGCCCTGGTTTAGATAGTGATCTGGCTTCCTAGGTTTTTCTTCACATTACATCCTCTGTGAACAGAATGTTTCAGCTGAGGTGCACAAAATTATGAAAGAATTATTTTATGACACTAACTCCTAGGTTATTTTGTTATGCAGCAATAGATTACTAGAACACACTAGGAGTGCATCAAACTTCTGTCACCAATATAGTGGATCAATGCAATATTCTCCAGAAGACTAAGATGTTCAGGGTCTTTTGTACTATATGACTAAAAGCAGAAAAATTAAAATATATGCATGAGGCAACTCAGTGGGTATGTACTACTTTCCATGTTAATGTGAACAATGTTTGAGTCTTTTTATTGAAGGGTATCTAAGGAATTGATTCAACAGAACTATATATCAGGTGCCAGAGGCCATTAATTTATTAATCTATAAAATTAAATATAGCACATCTTGCACAGAAAGTGATATTCAATTAAGTCAGAAGTTATGAAATACAATTACTTTTCACCATCTGTTTCTTTTTTGTTTTTATTTATTTAGTTTTTAGAACCTAAACCCATAAATTGAATAGGAATATTATATGGCTGATCACCTCTAGTTACTTACATTTTATATGGTGGCACCTAATTATGTAATTTTACCTGAAATGTCGTAGTTATTCTGACTTACTTTTTGCCTGAAGAAGTAATTTTCAGGGGCTTCCTTTGGTTTATTCCATCATAATGGCTCTTAATCCATAGATTGGCAAGTCATGTGAGTAATTTGTCAGCTACCAATATAGGATTTCAATTATGCACCTAGGAACTGAAGAAATGAACACAGAATGAGTCTTCCTGGAGCTTAATTGGTATGTAGGAGTCATTAATTCAAAGCCTGTTTCCAACAGAAGTTTAAGAAGCTGGGTGTTTCCCTTCCCTCAGTGTACACTCATACCGGGAAACTGGTAAGAGCTGTAGTGTACTTCTAATCTTCAAACTTTCTACTCCCTTGAGGGGTTTAGGCAGAGAGAAAAAAAAACCCTAATTTATAGCATTTTTAAAAAATTCCATGGTGTAAATACACCCACCATGGCTGATTTTAACATACCAACATGATAATATTAAACATGGAGTTGAGCAAAGATGCGAACAATAAGCTCTTGAAAACTGATATAAACTGGTTCCATTACACAACTGGTTAGACGAATGTTTATTGTATAGTTTTTATTTGGTATTACAGGTTCCATCCTCAAGACAATCCAAATCCCCCTTCATTTGACATTATCTGGCTCTAGAAACTGGTTCAAATACAAAAACTGAGTAAATATATATTTTTTTAAATTAGCGGTTGACATCTGCCATCATCTTGCATGATTTTGGTCTTTCTTGACCATACATTCTTGTTTGCTATACATCTATTTTCCCTCAAGAATTATCAATGTCCTTTTACTTACTTTTCATTTATTGTTATATATAATCCCGTTGCACCATTCACTTTCTGTTCCTTATTGTGCTAACTGGATCTTTCAGGGAACATGGTTTTGTGATTCTTTCCTTTTTAATTTCTGTCAATATTCCCACTTTAAAATCACCACCTCTATTAAACCCTCAGAATGCTTGCTACAACTCTTTCGAGAAATATTAATGCTCTTACCCTATTTGACTGGAGTTATGTCATGTCTAATTTTCAAATATCTATCCTATTAGTATATCAAGACCAATTCCAGGTGATTTAGTCAAGATGTTGACTCTTGATTCAGAGGAGGGTTTTCCATATCTTCAAACTTTACCTTTTGTCACTTAATTCTCTGAAACTATTAAATGCTTGATTTTCAGCATAGCTTCACCCTGCCAAGTCAAGTGTTAAGGCCTTCTTATATGTTGTCTTGGACATTCTACTTCCTCAAGTCTTCTGGGCAGTTGACAAAAACAATCCAACTCAACAATGTAAAAATTGCCATTGTACCCATATCTTTTGAAAGCCAGAACTTTCAAATAATCCATTTCTTACTCTTCTACTTGCACCTAATCTGAATCCACCATGGGCAAGGGTTTTACAGACTTTTATTTTATAGTGCCCCATGACTATTACATCTTTATTTACACTAAACAGGTTCTAGTTTTTAATTGCATCAAGTGATCCAGTTTGAGATTTCTAACACGAGGTTATGCTTTCTAAGACCACTGTCAGATAATTGCCTAAGTAATTGTTCTCTCAAAAGTGGAATGTGGGGCAATACTGGAGTATGGGAAGTAGGTAGTTGATTTGAAGAAGGTCCTAGGAAACAGTGTGTGAAAGCAGAGAGGTGAGACCAGAAAGACTAAGGACCGTAAAGAGTGACTTGGCAAATGAATCACTGCCAAAGACAACTGGAGCTCGTGCTTGTTAATGAGCCTTAGAATAATTTTATGCAGGCTTTATTGCTTGAAGCTTGTCAGCAAACATCTCAGAATTTCAGGCTGCCTTATACTTTGACAAAGGAGAGTTTCTGGCTCTAGAGAAATATTTTAGCAAGAAAAAAAGGGTGCTTTAGATGGAAAGCTGACAATTAAAATAGGAGATGCCCACTGTTCTGTCAGAAGAACTCAGGGTGGACCAGTGTGAAAAGAACAATGTAACAATAGCATCTGCTACCAGTGAGGTTCTCAAAATGTTGTCTGTGGACCAGCAGCATCAATATCACCTGTGAAGTTCTTAGTTTCATGTTCTCAGACCTTGTTTAATGATCAGACTTTCCAGAAGCAGAGCCCAGCTAATTGTTTTAATAAGCTTCCCAGGTGCTTACAGTGCTCACTAAAGTTTGAGAATAACTATGATATAGCATTAGATCATTCTAGAATACTTGAATTTTTAGCAAAGTAGTTGGCAATTTTTATACATCTTAGATTTTATATTAAATAAGCGTAATAAAATACAAAGATGACTTTTAAAAGAACATAAGTAGCATTAATAAATTTCAAGCCAGCAAATGAAGAAATGGTTTGAAAAAATAAAATTAACCAAAACTAACTTAAACAGAAATTTTTGACAACCATTTACTTTATAGAGCAAGTGCTGAAAATCAATCTAAAAATGAAACACTGGACCATACCGCTATGCCTACATAGCCAATTTATGCCAAACATTTCATGAATAGTTATTTCTAATATTACAAACCTTTTGTATTCTGGAGAATACACAATATATTAATTTCCTAATGCATTGTGTGAGTCTTCAGATGAAAACAAGACAAGAAAAGATAATAATTGCAGGTCATTGTCATTCATAAAAGCAGATTTAAAGAACTGAAACAAATTTTTAATGAAAAGTGAAATACAAAGACACATAAGAATGCAAAGGCATAAAGGTGGACATTCCCTAGCAGATATCAGTTTTAATTTTGAAACTGTAGTAATTAAGAGCATGTGGTAATGACACAGAATTAGACAAATCAACCACTATAAAAGAGCAAGTACTCAGAAGCAGACTTTGTTCCATAGCAGAATGCTAATAAATGACCATGTAACATGATAAAGCAATGGGAAAGAAAGGAGCTATTGATTAAAGAAATATTAAAAATATGTAAAAAGAAAAACAAAAGCATTTTCAGTCTCAACTATATACAAAAATTAAACTAGTTCAATAATTTAAATATCAAAATCAAGACATTAACATTTCAGAGGAAATATAGATGAATATACATCTGTCTTTGAAGGAGAAAGACAACGCAAAAACATAGCACAGATTATTTATTTAAAAAATAAACTAAAACACATGTTAAATTTAAGTATTCACTTGTTAACCAAAAGATATCTATAAAACCATGAAAATGTCAATTACCAATTGAAAGAAGATATTTGCAACATATAAAATTGACAAATAAGTAATATTAATGATATGCAAACACATTTTAATAATATATGAGAAATATTAAAACTAATAATCAGAGAACTGCAAATAAATGTAAAATTGAAACACTTTTGTAACAATATTATTAGTTTTAAAATGGAATAAGAAACACTATATGTTTGAGATACAATGTGTTTATTTTTTAAAAGGACTAATCTGTTTACTCATTTAAGCAACAATTAGTGTGGACCAACTATGTGCTGGGGCCTACTCTTGACACCTAAAATATACAATCGATTTCACAATGAGAGATCCATACTTTCATTGAGCTTACATTCTTGTGTGGAGCTAATCAATTAAAAGAAGTATTTCAAACAGAATTATCTAATAAAATAAATACAAAGAAAAAAGTTACAGCTAATAAGAAGAATTGGGAGGGCCAAATAGGGGCTACAGGAGTAAGTTTTCAGTATTGAACGTAATGGCCATGGAAGTTTCTTAAGAAAGTGCATTTTAACAGAAATTAAAATGTTAAATTTGGACTTGAGCAGAGTAGTGACATGATCTGACTTGTTTCTAGGAGACCATTGTGTTTTTCATGTTGGTAAAAAAACTTCCAGGAAGCAAAAGTAAAAGTAGGAAGATCAGTCAGGAAATTATGCTGGTGATGCAGGGGAGAGGAAATATGTTTTGAATGACATTTGAAGAGGTGGAGGTAGTTAGGATAGAATAAATTGGGACATAAGTTTTGTTAGAAAAGTATTTAGCCAAAGTAACTGGAAGGAAAAAAATCACTTTAATGAAATGAGGTGTCATCAGATATAGTTTTTTTTTTTTTAATCTCTGAGACTAAATGAAATCACCTCAGAGTGAATGGAATTAGAGAAGCAAAGAAGACCAAGAACTGAGCTGTGGGGATACTAAAAAATAAAAGAAGAGTAGAAATTCATATAGTAGAGTAAGACAGCTGTCAGAAAATAGTAAATCAAGGAAAATATGTGTCACATACTTTACAAATGGAATTGAAACCTGCCCAGTTGTCCCATAGAACTGATGTTTATGGTTTCTTTTGAATAAACATAGAAATGGATTGTCCCAGTCATAAAACTTGAGAAAGTTTCATTTGTCTTATCTGAGTTCCTTTACTCAGGAAACCAACCATCAGGCCTCCCAGATAATATCAAGAAACCGAAACATACCAGATTGTTGCATCTGGACAACAAGATGCCAAACTCCTCACCCATCATGATTACTGTCCATATGCTTCCTGTTGGCCAACTCCTCTTCTTCACTCTTCCCTAATTCCTGTTTTTCCACACAAAATTACATTTTTCCCCAGCTATATAAACCCCTAATTTTAGTCAGTTGAGGAGATGGATTTTGACTGATTTCCCATCTTTTTGCCTTCAGTACACAAATAGAGCCCTCTTTCTTGGCAATACTCATTGTCTCAGTAATTGGCTTTCTTTGCAGTGAACAGCAAGACCTAGACCGAACCCCTAGTGCTTTGGTAAGATTTGGGTCCCTGACCAGGAACGCTTTGCTCATGGCTTGGCTGCTATAGGTAGGGAGAGTTTCAGAAGTCCTCCTAAGCAACTGTCTGACTTTTTCTTTGGCCATTGGTGGGGTTCGGTCTCTTGCCGGCCCCATTGCCGTTGGCCCCAACTGCTTTTCTCATTCCTAAAAAGAACAGCCTTTGAAATTTATCATTTGCATCCAGATGAGTAAGTGACTTTTATGGGTATCAGACAATAGGATTTGCTCCTGTCGATCTGGGTAATTCAGAAGGAATTTCAATAGAACAAAGCAATCACTACAACAATAACAACAAAAAATGATTTAATTACATGGGAAATTATTTGGTCAATAAGCAGCTGAAAATGTAATCAACATCATTATTAAATAGACTTACAAATTTAAAACAAGAAGATAAATATGTCTCTACTCATTTGGCAGAAATTTTGAAGTCTAAAAAGTTCATGCATTCATGAGGATATCACATAATTGACATAGTAATAAAATATTAGTTCAAATTAAAGTTAGTAAATGATTTTTGAGAAAAAAATTTAGGTCATAATAACATTTAAATAAATGGATTATAAATTATGACCTAGCAATTGTACTTCTAGTTAAAAATATATATAAGAGAGGAAGAATATTCATGTCAGCACTTATTTCTAATTTCATTAGAGACAAGATTTTCAAAAGACAAAAAAATAGGTGGTGGAATATTCATATAACACTATACAGAAATGAAAATGAGCAATTTATCTCTCTGCATAATATGGATGGATCTCACAAAATAGCACTGTGCCAAATTGTTTCAAATTAATACATAGAGCATAATATATTTATGTAAAATAAGGATAAGCAACAAGATAATGAAAGACAAAATTTGGAATGATGTCTACCCTTGGGAGAGAGAAGAACTATTGGGTACTATGCCCACTACCAGTGTGATGGGATTGACTATAATCAAATCTCAGTGTCACTCAATATATCCTTGAAACAAAATTGCAAATGTACTTCCTAAATCTAAAATACAAGTAAAAATTTAAAAAATAACAAAAAAGGAGGCATAGCAATATGATGTGTGCTTGTGGTTGTATGTGTCTTTCTGTGTGTATTTGTTTCCTCAAGCAATATTCATCAGCTCAATCCAGGCACAGAATCAGAGAGGAAAAAAAAAAGAAAAACTAACTAGGTTTGGAGTTTTGACAGAGTATGAGAGAGGAAGAAGGAAGAAGAGAGTATTATTCAAATGGAATGCAAAAGGTAACTGTAGTGAGCCATGAAATATAAGGTTAATAAGAAAGAAGAGAGTAAGCAAATGAATACTCAAAGAACAATGCACTGAAATACACAATTTCTAAGAAATGTGTTGGAATTGGAGTGCAAGAGAAACTGAGATGAAACTGTGTGGTTCCCAGATAGTGGAATGCAAAACTACTAGAACTGATAAAGGATACGGACAATAACATCATAGTAGGGTAATCAAGTATTGCACCAGGGGTTGAAAGGAGTGTATTGTACAGTACAATATGGCTTCTATCTATAAAGAGGAGTGAGTTATAAGATCAAACAAAGAAGGAGTTCTGATTTGGGAATGAGAATTTGTTACAGGTATTTTTATTTTCCTTTATTTTGTATGCAGAAAAAGAAGGAGACATATAAAATTATGATAGGTCAACAAGACTACATATGCTCTAGCATTCTGTCTGTCCACATATTTTCCTATAAATCCAACCATTAATCAGAAGAAATATATGGCTAATTAACACCTCAAGCATAATCCATTGCATAAAAAATCAGCCCATGTTATAAATACCATTTTTTCCCAAAAAAGAGTATTTGATCTGTGTATGCGACAACCTAAAAGTTTAATGTTATCTACATCTGGTCTTATTTAGATCAAGAATTTTAAAAACTGTTATTAACTCTCTCAATAATTAATTGTATTGCTACAATCATATAAATTTTGAAAGATAATCTTTGTGGATGCAAGCAAGTAAAAATAAAAAATTTCATATTTCTTTGAATGATTAATTATACAAATGTATTGTAATACAAAGATAATTTATTTTAGTCAAACATACCAGAAAACAAGCATATGGTGACTATAAAATGTATTTCAGTTTACTGATAAATATACTTATTGTTTTATTATTAACAATATTTTATTGAGGCTAATGCACTATTTTAATCATTGCCATGACAATCACCAAACAATCTCTTTATTTTTTTAATCTGTAGCCTGCAACAAAATTTTATTTACTGAAAGACACCTATTGAATAGCAAATATAGAAAAAACGCTTTAGCAAAGATTTAGATCGTTATTCTAAAACACTTGTAACCTAGTTTTTAGGGCAACATGGTGACATTCTTTATTATTATATTACTCTTATTAGATTAAGCTTTGATAAATAAGTTTTTGAGAAGATGTAATGATTAATAATGAGTATGGTACATTTCATATGTAAAATAAAAATTTGCAAGTATAAATATACACAAACAAGTTTCAAATTACAAGTTAAAACTGACTATCAAATGATATATGTGTCACAATTCTATTCCTGTTTTAGGAACAAAGATATCCAAACTGGTAGAGTTTAAAGTTATACTCATAAAATTCAACAGTTCTGTAAGTGGTTATTGGGTGTAATAATGAAGGAAGTCACATCTACTTCCACACTTTGATGCATTTTTGCAATGGTAACAACAGCAACGTACTTGGTTGTATTCTGTAAGAAAGAACCCCACCGTTTCGGCATGTAATCTCCCAACTTTTATCATCATCGAGTCTTCAGTAGGCCAATTCAGTTATGTTAGCCAGATACTTCTGGTTAACAGGGAATGTGCATAGAATTCCCTATCATGATGACATGATGATAACAACTTAGGAATCCTTTAATTTCATGGATTGTACTGAAAACAAAGCACTAAAAGTAGAGAAGGCATACATATATCCAGAATACATGTCTATTCTAGTGAGAAAAAGTCAATGCCCATTCCATGATGGAACTGTTCCAACATAATCAAGCTTACTTACACATGGTAGCTGCCTAGATCATCTGAGCAATGTCAACAAATTGGAGGGTCAGCTGCTGGCAGGATAGGCATTTAGCAGGTCAGCCTTTGTGCAAGGAAGTTCATGTTGTTGATCCCATAGACAACCTCTGTCTATCCTGCCATCACAGTTATTTGTACATGTTCCCACTGAGGAAGCACTGAGGTGATTGGGAAAAGAAGCTAACCGATATCAGTAGGAAATTTCTTCTCATTCACCTCATTATTAGAGCATTTTCTACATTGGAAGCCATTTGGTGAACATTCACCTGAAACACAAATATCTTCACAGTCTTTGCCCAGTTAGAGAGATGCCTAAACATATCGTTTTACCAGAGCTTTTGTGTTACCAGTTTTTCAGTCCTATTCATTCCATTTAGCCAAAACCTTAGTAGCTCACCTGAATTGATGTTGCTCTGTGCTGTAGGCCATATGTAGGACCAGAGAAATTGGACAACCACATTTACTGCTTCAAGAATTTGCATTCACCGCTAACCTTTGGTGATAACCATCCATTCCTGCTTGATCCTAGCCTATCCTGTAGAATTGTTTATAAACCAATGTGTTTTTTCCTCCTAATAAACTGTTTACAAGAAACCAGTTTTCTTGAAGTCATAGGTGTAGATAGAGGGAGCGAAGGCAATGCAGCAGGACTAAGTGTTGAGGAAGCTTGAAGCACTTACTACAAGTGTGCCTAAACCCTTTCATATCATTTCTAGTTGATGATAGGTCATTGCTGTACATTCCTATTCTCGTGACATTTTGTGTCAGATAATATCCAGTCATTTTATGTCCCACAGTTCCGTATTCAGACTTTACCTGATTCTAGGAGCAAGACTGGCTTCATTAAAGCCAGTTTCTCAAAAATAAAATAATTACTGGCAAATGAGCACACAGATAGACATCAGAAACCTAAAAGTCAATGCTGTGATTTTGCCACTGAAAAGCATCTGATGCTTTATACAGTATCCTTACTGACCACAGATTCTTTAAGTACCATGAGGTCTGCTGGTTTATAACAACAAAATGGAACAACACAGTACGGTTTAGCCTGGTTTGGTTGTAGAGATTTCTCTCATCCTCCTCCCCATTCAAAACTGGAATCCTTATGATTACACAATACATGCTTTTCTCAAATGTGGACCACATTACCCATATATTCAAAAAGCCCTACTGGGTGCTGGGCCTGGTGACTCACGCCTAGCACTTTTGGAGGCCGAGGTGGGTGGATCACGAGGTCAGGAGTTCAAGACCAGCCTGGCAAAGATGGTGAAACCCCACATCTCTACTAAAAATACACAAATTACACAAATTAGCCTGGCATGGTGGCGGGCGCCTGTAATCCCAGCTACTTGGGAGGCTGAGGCAGAGAATTGCTTGAACCTGGGAAGCGGAGGTTGCAGTGAGCTGAGACTGCGCCACTGCGCTCCAGCCTGGGCGATAGAGTGAGACTCCATCTCCAAAAAAAAAAAAAAAAAAAGCCCTGCTGGTTATGTCATTTTGTTAGTGCTAGATGACACGAGGCAAATTAACTTGGTTTTACCTTGGAGGAAGATATAGTAACATTTTAAAAAATACTGACCTTAACAGTCTTTCACCAAGGTCTATTCTCAGTTTTTGAATTTGGGTGTGATTTATGTGTAATTATTAGGTATATATGTGTTTGTGCATTTTTTGTCTCATTCTGGAATGCTTCATTTGACAAGCTCTTTTATTCTTGACTATCAAAGACTACAGTAGAATTTCTGGTTGAGTATATCCCATTTTATTTTAATATTCTTGTAAGGCATTCAGTGGAACTTTTGAAACTAGAGCTTGTTTACAAATTTAGGGAAATCATAATTGTATACATATATTTAGAAAAATTATATATAGGGAAATGATATATAGGTATACATATATGTACACCTATATGCATCTCTCAGGTCTACCTCAATTTTATTCTCTCATACATTTGCTATCTTTATATTTTTGTCATATATCCTAGATAATACTTAAATTATATCTTTAAGAACACTGCTTCACTTTTCAACTGTGGTAGTGTATGATTTAACAATTTTGCTGAAATTAATATTTTGATTTTTCTTATTTCTAAAACTTTTATCATGTTTGCTCTTCTTTATTATAGCAATATTCTCTTTCTTTGTAATTCTACCAACTCTGTGCTTTGATGGTCTTTACGGCCTTCTCCCTAATCCTTTTCTCTTATCCTACAATCTCTTTATCAATGTATTAACCCACATAACTTCAAACACAGTTGCACCCCCTAAAATTAGTCATCAACCTGTATCTGTGTGTCTAACTTCAGATGCATAGATCCTGTGCCTTGGAATCAGAAACATCTAAGAGATACATGAACGTTAGTGTGTCCCAACCTGAACTTCTGGTTTTTATACCAACTATATCTAATGGTCTAGTATCATCTATCACCATGAATGATCTTTCATGCAATGTTTCCTCCAGAAACCTCAGAGGAAATAAAACGTCATCATTCTATTTCACCTCTTCATTTCAAACAATTTCAGGCCTTGGTGATTTTCTTTTCATTTATTTATTTATTTATTTAGAGATGGAGTCTTGCTCTGTCGCCCAAGCTGGAGTGCAGTAGCGTGATCTCAGCTAACTACAATCTCCATCTCCTGGGTTCAAGCGATTGTCCTGCCTCAGCCTCCTTCCTGAGTAGCTGGGATTATAGGCGCCCGCCACCACCCCCAGCTAATTTTTGTATTTTTAGTAGAAACAGGGTTTCACGATACTGGCCAGGCTGGTCTTGAACTCTTAACCTCAGGTGATCCGCCAGCCTTGGCCTCCCAAAATGCTGGGATTACAGGCATGAGTCACCGTGCCCAGCCCTTGGAATTTTAATTAGATATGTTTTCCCGATCTTCATTGCCACTATGCTAGACTACGGTGGCATTATATCTCACCAGCGTGCTTGTCTTTTTTATATTCTTCCAATAGATTTTCTAAAGAGCAAGTTAGGTAATTTTTTTTTGATATGTAAGTTTAATGTGTCATTATCCTGAATGAAACAATTCAGTTTCTACTCACTACTTTTAAGTTAGAGGTCAAATATCTTTATATAAGTCAAATGGCTCTCATGATAGGCATCTTTACTCCCTCTGTTGATTCATCACTGTTTTGTTTTTTAATTTATTATTATTATTTTTTAGGTTTGTGGTTACATGTGAAAGTTTGATACATGGGTAAACTCCTGTCATGGGGTTTGTTATACAGATTATTTCATCACCCAGGTATTAAGGTCCACAGCAAATAGTTACGGTGACACTAATTATCAGAAGTTTTTAAAGTTTGTATAATCAAGAGAGGAAAGTACAAAAGAGAGTAGCTAACAACTGAACTTACCCCTATTTACATGCATATTCTTTGTTTGGCTGAGTAGTCACAATTGATTTTAATGTATAAAATAGTAATTTAACATGTATGCTATATATATGTGTGTATGTAATAACAAGAGACAGCTACATAAATATACGTACACATATTCTGACAAATGTCATAGCACACATGAATGTTAACCCTTATTGCTACGACTACTGAAAATTTAGAAGAGCCATTGATTTGGACATTTGTTCTACTTCTACTCATTTATTCTAATGAAAAAAATCTAGAAAATGTGTAACTTCCAAGAATATATGTGTACCTGCTGGCAAAGACTAATGATCTGATCCAATGGGCATTGCATCAGCTGTATAATGAATTCAGTATTATTTAAACCACCATCATTTACTATGAAAAATTATATGAATCATATATTAATATGATAATAAAAGGTTTTATATAAAAGATAAAACCAAAAATTACTAAATGCATACTGAATTAATTTATCAATCAGCAGGCTGGTAAATATACAGATCAACAGAACATTTGAATAGTTAATATCTAATGCTGCTAAGTAAAAACAAGTCCAAATATGGGATCCAGTGTTTTAATGTCATAATAAAAAATGTAATTTAAAATAGTACATATATTTATACTTATATCTAAATCTGCATCTACATATGTGCATGTGCACACATATGTATATCTTTATGTACATATACACTGTAAAACATTAGAATATGTAATATATATAATAATATTACAATTCCTATTTGAAATAAAATGAAAACAAAATGGAGGTATAACACTTGTTTATGGTTGGTTTCTGCAGAATATTGGGACGAGGTTAAAGCTCAGTTGTAAATTCCTGTATTCCACCTGAATACCTCAGATAGGGATCTATGTATTTGAAAATATTCCATGATGCAGTATTCACGGGGAAGTTCTATCTTGGGCAACACATTTTTTAAAAAGGCTTTTTCTCACTATATTTTTTAAATTATTTTTTTTCTTTTTAATTGATTAAGTTTTACTACCTTCATGTGAAATCTCTTCAGCTTTCATTAACATTTTTTTCTCAAGTATTAATGAAATATGACCCACTAATTCACATTTAATTTCCTAGGTGCTACACTAAAGTTGTTGTTTGTGGTCAGTATAGTTTATTATAATTAATTAGAAACTTTTTTAACTTTTATATTAGGTTTGTGGGTACATGGAAAGGTTTGTAACATAGGTAAACACGTGTCATGGGTGTTTGTTGTACAGATTATTTCATCACCCAGGTATTAAGCCCAGTACCCTATAGTTATCTTTTCTCCTCCTCTCCCTCTCCCACCCTCCACCCTCAAGTAGACCCCCGTGTCTGTTGTTTCCTTCTTTGTGTTAATAAGTTCTTATCATTTAGCTCCCACGTATAAGTGAGAACATGTGGTATTTTTTTTAATTTTGGTATTTTCTATAAATTTATTCAGTAGAATGTTTGAGGGTTTGATAAGTAATGCAAACCAAATGTGTCTAGACAGAATTTATTTGCATAGGGAATAATACGTTTCTGATAAGTGAAAAGGTCAGTGTTAAGTGCTGGTGGTTGCTGGGCACCTCAAGGTCAGAAGTCAGATGTAGTTCTTAGAAAGAGAATATAGAGACATATTTTAGGATTATGTTAATTCTCTCATTCTTCATTAAAGCTGTTGTTAAATTGGTGGCTTTCTTTTTCATTTTTTTAATAAAAAACCATGCTGTACACTCATTATCTGTGTAATTTTCCATTAACTGGAAATTTATACAATAATTTCCAGTGTACATAATATGTTTGTTTAATTTTCTAATATTGTACCTCCTTTAGAAATATCATTGAAGCATATGAATCTTAAATCCAAAACTAAAAACTGACTCAATGTTACTCAGTCGATTGTATCCACTTTCCTGACCGGATTGTTTAATGAGATGTAATTTCTTCTTGCTATGTTGACCTGGATAAAGTGGATGGGCAGGCATTGCATGTGATATTACAAAGAACAGGACAGATGGAAGAATAACTTTAAGGGATTCCAATACTAGAAGGTATGTATAACAAATAATTAGAAGGCATACATGACAAATATACAATTATTAGCTGGTGACACTATCTAAATAACATTAAAGTTATTTCCAAATATAATCATAAATATAATATATTTTACAGACTTATAAAAGTCTTGATTAAATTACAGAAATCACTAGTTTCATTCAAGCAACTAAAATACCTTTTGAGGCAGGTGGGTAGAAGAAAAAAATAAGAAAAAAATAAATTATAAACAAATCAAACAACACACCTGCCTCTTTCACAAGAATGTTCTAAGTTTTAGATGAGAAGATATGCAAGAAACTTATTTCATCTTTTCACTCAACAACATTCTGTCATTCAACAATAGTTTACTAATGTGCTCTAGTGCCAAGTATATAATTTCAAAGAAGACAAGAAATATCTTGGTTTTCAAGTAAATTATACACAGGCAGGGGGAAATTAATATAAACAAGCAAATAAAAATAAAATACAATGATTATACAAAATCATAAATAATCTGAAGGAATAAACACAATGGTGTGATTGCCCACAGCTATGTGAAGTAGGGTAATTTAATTTAGACTAGACAGTCAATAAAGATCTAATTGAACATATGATATTTGAGCTGACACCTGAAGAATGAGAAGGAGCCAACCACTCATCCAAAAGAATAACTTTTAATACAGAGAAATAGCACTAGCAGGCCAGAACTACGAGCATTTCATCAAGAAAAAAATAAAATTTCAGGAAAGTGGAAGCGAGTAAGGAGATCATTAGAAAGAAATAATTCTGCAGAGCTAGTTAGAAACCATCACAGGGTAGAAAATTGGCTGTGATTTGCTTTGTGGTATGCTATACAAATACAAAGTCATTAAAATGTTAAGCTGAGTTTGTTGCTACCTAATTCAAAAGACTCTGAGTATTGCATAAAATATTTAGAATATTAATTATTACCAGATAAAAGTCAAGAAGAGTCTACTAATTAGGTGGGTACTGAATTTGAATTAGAAAAATGCATCATCAATACAGACAAAAATAGGTGCCCAGCAATGGTGGATTGGATAAAATATGGTACATATACATGATTAAATACTATGCAGCCATAAAACAGAATGAAATCATGTCTTTTGTGGCAGGAGGGATGCATCTGGAGGCCATTCATTGTCAAATGAAAATGCAGGGACAGGAAACCAAATACCACATGTTCTCACTTATACCTGGGAACTGAACATGGGGTACTCATGGACATAAAGATGGCAATAATGGCAAGACACTGGGAACTTGCTTGAAATAAACAGGGGAAATGGTGGAAAAACTAACTTTTGGGTATTATGCCTACTATATGGGTGATGGAATCATTTGTATCCAAAATCTCAGCATCACACAATATACCCATGTAACAAACCTGAACATGTATCCCCAAAATCTAAAATAAAAGTTGAATTTAAAAAAAAATTAAAATATTTAGCTGAGTGCAGCGGCTCACACCTATATTCCCAGCACTTTGGGTGGCTGACAAGGGCAGATCATGAGGTCAGGAGTTCAAGACCAGCCTGACTAGCATGGCAAAAAACGATGTCTCTACTAAAAATACAAAAATTAGCCGGGTGTGGTGGCGTGCACCTGTAATCCCAGCTACTCAGGAGGCTGAGGCAAGAGAATCGCTTGAACCCAGGTGACGGAGGTTGCAGTGTGCCGAGACCACCCCAGCTGGGAGACAAGAGCGAGATTCTGTCTCAAAAATAAAAATAAAAATAAAATAAAATAAAATATTTTGGATTTAGAACTTTGATGGTTTATTGATGGTTTGGATATTTGACATAAGGAACATAAGACAGTTTCCACTTTTTGACTGATGCAGTTGTTGGATGCTATTTACATTATTGAAATTTATATGGAAAGGAACTGGTTTGGTATAGTAAAAATCTAGTGACATATCAATTCAGAGATAGATATCTCTTAGAAATCAAAGTGAAAATTGCAACCTTCACATTTTATATCTCTTTTTGCACTTTGGTTTTCACCTTAGCAGTAATCATCAACTGATTTTTAACACATTGATCTAACTATGTTCCAGCTTCTTTAGCAGAATGAAAGCTTCATGGGGCTAGTTAATTTGTCTATTCTGTTTAATGCTTTAATGTTATATCCTGATGATATAGAACAGAATAAGTGTTACAATATATGTATTAAATGAATGAATATATATATATAATGAATCTAAATATATATGTAAATATATATAATGAATCTAAAAATATATAAATATATATAATAAATCTAAATATATATATAATGAATCTAAATATATATATAATGAATCTAAATATATATATATATAAATTTTGTTTTCTTGAGACAGAGTTTTGCTCTTATCACCCAGGCTGGAGTGCAATGGCGTGATCTTGGCTCACTGCAAACTTCACCTCTCAGGCTCACGTGATTCTCCTGCCTCAGCCTCCTAAGTAGCTGGGATTACAGGTGCCCCCCACCATGCCTGGCTAATATTTTGTATTTTTAGTAGAGACGGGGTTTCATCATGTTGGCCAGGCTGGCCTCAAACTCCTGACCTCAGGTGAGCCACCTGCCTTGGCCTCCCAAAGTGATGGAATTACAGGCATGAGCCACCGCACCCGGCCTAAATGAATGTAATTTTATGTAGATATTTTATTGTACGAGTCCATAGCACAGGGAAGAGTTTGAGGCTCTGGAAACAATTTTGAAGCTTATCAGCATAGATCCTACATGCTATGGGTTTGGATACAGTGACCTCTGCAGAGAAATTCGGACACAGATTTAAAGTGTTATCAAACCAAATCCATTCCTGAAGTTTCCCAGACTTTAATAGGTGGAAGGATTAGCAAGGAGACCAAGAGAAAAAATACAGAGGAAGAAAAAACAAACAAACGAAAAAACAAACGAAAAAACAAACAAACAAAAAAACAGAAAAACAAAGATAAGTGAAGAGAGAAACCAAACCCTGAAGATGCATGAAAACAAAGACAAATTATTCAAGTGAGACAGAATGGTAGAATATATTCAAATGTGCCGCTAAGCCAGTAAAATGATATCACAAAGTGCCCACTGGATTTGGACAAGTTGTGATCATTGATGAACTGGATAAGTGTAAGGTCAATAAAGGGGAATGAAGTAGATGGACAAGTGAATGGAAAGAGGCATAATTTCTGATATTATGGCTGAAAATGAATCTAGATTTATGAAACTCCTAAAATATTTGATTATTGATATCTATATATCTATCATCTATCTATCGATTTTAATTCATTCATGAGCTAATAAGGTTGTAAGGATATATCATGCCAAATGCAGTAAAGTAAAGCAGTTATCAGCACTGCTTTTCCCCTGAGAAATTTGTTATATAAGAAAAATGTAAACACTGGTTTTCATAGATTCAAATTTTGTGGAAGTGGAGACAACACTTTATGCCAGTACACATGGCAAGTTTAGTAAGATTCTTGCTCATATTATTACAATTCCTAAGGGATACAGCCTTGTCTTAAAGAACCGCAAAAATTAAAAAAAAAGTCAATTTGGCATTTTGTAAAGTGGAGCAGTTTATTCTTAGATAAATTTTAAAGCCAAGCTGACATTCATAGGTCTTTATATACATAATTTGCCTTACTTGGATGTTCGAAAACATCAGCAGATGAAAATATTGAAAGTGATCTGGCACAGTACACACTATTCCAGTGACATGTTCTCTTAAAGCCCAGACCTCATCACTATACAATTCAACTATGTAACCACAAACAATTTGTACCTATAAAGCTATTGAAATTAGAAAATGAATAAATAAACAAATAATAAATAAAATGAAAATATTTAAAGTGATAATAGCCAAGTAAGAAATAGTTTTTAGAGGAATATTGCTTTACACTATTCCTCAGAGTAAACACACAAATATTTTCAAAATAGCATAAACAGCTTAAAGAAAAATAAGTAAATAAGCACAAAAAGAAACAAGGCATGATTTGTGAAAATCAGCAGAAAATGTAGGGAAAAACTGTTCTGCTTGATTTGACATTGGGTATAGTATAAAATAACTATTCCTACAAAGTTTAAATTTAAAAATACAATATAGAATATCTAGAGGAATGAGGAAATTATTGAAATAAGCAGATTTTAAAAAGAGCATATAATTTTTTTTAGAAATTAAGAATATAATTATAGAAAAATAAACCCTAATAAAGTACACTCACTTCTGACTGAGGTAAAAATGGCAGCTGGCTATTCTTTTCTTGCACCAATCAAAGGAAGGAAAAAAACTGAGATACATAAAAATATATAGTTTTTAAAGAAGTAAGAATACTTTGTAAGAAAATCAGATTTAATAAACTGAAATTACAGAGGGACAGCCTTTACAAGGTAAGCAGTTTATCACTGGTATTTCTTCAGAGGCTGTATTTGCTGATTCTGGGCATGGGCTGATTGAACTTCGCCTATAAATAGGTAGCCTGCTGAGGAAAGAAAATCTAGCAAAGATTTGCATGTTTGCAGAGCTCTGCAACAATAATTTTGAAAGTTCTGGAGTCAAAAATGCCTGATTGATTTTATTCCATGGTTCATTAGCTAATTTTTTTTTTCTAAATAGGAGGTGAAGAGTTTCTGGAAGGAAAATATCATTTCTTATAGTCTTGGAATATTTGGAAGAAATAGTCTGATCTAAAGAGAGGAGCCTCTCTCAAACCCAAATGCTGTTTTCTATCTAAGACATTTGCTGTGACTGGATATTGCATGGGGAAGGAAGACAAACTGCAAAACTTGAAACTTCCAAATAACAAACTCCCACAGTTCTCCATTTGAGAAGACAGAAAACAGTCAGATCCTCAAATACAAATCTGTTAGGACTGTTAGGAGTATGCACATAGAACAGAAACAACCAAAGGAGAAGTGATTCTTTCAAAAATTGCAAAAGTTTCCAGACCCGACTAGATCCCTGACTGAATTGAGGTGATCAACCACTCTCTGTCTCCCGGTGGAAAATAAAAATGATCCTCTAAAAGGTATCACTTAGAACTCCTTCTTTTCCTTTCTGTATCTTGCCTAGAATACTATTAAAAAATTAAATGTGGCCGGGCGCGGTGGCTCACGCCTGTAATCCCAGCACTTTGGGAGGCCGAGGCGGGTGGATCATGAGGTCAGGAGATCGAGACCATCCTGGCTAACAAGGTGAAACCCCGTCTCTACTAAAAATACAAAAAATTAGCCGGGCGCGGTGGCGGGCGCCTGTAGTCCCAGCTACTCGGGAGGCTGAGGCAGGAGAATGGCGTGAACCCGGGAAGCGGAGCTTGCAGTGAGCCGAGATTGCGCCACTGCAGTCCGCAGTCCGGCCTGGGCGACAGAGCGAGACTCCGTCTCAAAAAAAAAAAAAAAAAAAAAAAAAAATTACATGTGACAAGACATAGGATAATAATACTGGTAATGAATAGAAATTAATAAACATTGGAATCAAACCTACAGATAACATAGACATTGGGGTTAGTAAATAAAAAATTTAAAATAATCATCATAATAATATAAATACAAAGGTATTAGTAAAAATGCTAGAAAAATAGATAAAATGATGAAGAAAAGTGACATCAATAAAATCAATCACTTCTACATGATACAAATGCTTAAGAAAATATTTTTAAGTAAGAACCCTTTGTATAGGATTAACAGTAGAATGAGGACTTCAAAATATTACTAGTTTACTTGAAAGCAGGTGATTACAAAATATTTAAACTGGAAAAATAGAAAAAGAAAATATCTGTGACACATTCAGAACACAGTACGAGTCTAAAACATGAGTCAACGGAGTTCCAGAAAGAGAGGAGAAAGAACAAATAAAGCAGAAAAGAAAATATATTAAAAAATTATCAAAGGTAGCAACACATAAATTCAAGAAGCTAAGTGAACTCAAAGTGGGAGAAATACAAGGAAAAACATGATTGGAATCATACTGAAACCACTGAAAATGAAAAAGGAAAAGCAATTTTTCAAAGTATCTTGAGGGGAAAAAGACATGTCATCTTAAAGGATCATCAGTAAGATCTGTATCTAAAACAAAAGCAATGATTTGGAAAACATGAAATCGGTCAAATAATTTCAAATACATGCTAATCCAAATATTTAAAAACTATTCTCAATATACATATTCATGGCAAATTAATGTGAAATAATATAATTGCAGACAAAAGAAAACATAGTCTGTCATCAATAGTTCTGCATTACCAGATGTGCTTAGATTGAAACCTACCTTCACTTAACTAGCTAAGTAAATTTTTATAAGTTAATTCATCTCTCTGTCTCAGTTTTATTACCTATAAATATGAGATGTAAATATTGTCTAATTTATAGGGGTATTTAGAGGATTAACTGACTTAAAACATTAAGATTCTTAAATCTATTTTAGGATATAAAATCTTTCTAACATGCTATTTTTCTCAGTATTAAATGTTACAAGCAAAATTACGATTTATGGGTGCAGAGTATCCCATTATTAAATTAATATGCTTTTGTCACTTAGACAATATTATAAGAATACTAAGAGCTAGGTATTGGAATCAATTTAAATCATTTTTCTTGATATAAATCTTCACTTTTCTGCTTTTAGCCTTTATTATGCTGGGCAAGTTATGTTACCTCTTTGTGCCTCTATTTCAGCACCTGTTAAATGCAAATGCCATTTGTAGCTAAAGTATACGGTTGTTGTGAGTTTTAAGCCAGTTAATGTATGTTTAGACATCATCAATTTATAGTAGTAGTTTTTAGTATATGTCATTTATACTCAACACTATAAACAGTCTTGCAATAGCAACTACCACATGTATTGCTATGATCAATTTCCTCAGATAAAATCCTATATTTGGAACTCTGAAGTAAAAAGCTATTAACATCTTAAAGTAATATGCTTCCTCAAATTGCCCTTCAATCAACTCTAGAAATTTAAACACTCACCAGAAATGTAGCAAGTAGCGCATTTATACACATCCTTGATAACAATGAATCCTCTGATTAATTATTATATTCATACCATTTGTTCTGTATTTTACAGCTGAATAAAATAGTTCCTCACATTTTTCTTTACATTTTTCTGTTATTATAACATGATAAATCACTATCATAATACAATGTAATAAATTAACATATTAGGTGGTATTCTAACAGAATTCAATTTCTAAAAGCCATTTGGACTACTAATTAAACACCACAAAACAGACAATTTTTTATCTGCTTATGATTGTCCACATAATATTTATTATAATTATGTCTATTTGATTGGTAAGCAACAATGATATGAATGGATAATTTTCACAGGAAAATGATGACATTCACTCCCTTTAAACTTTTGACTTTTTAAAATTACTAAACCTAATTAAAACTATTTTTCTTCTGATATAAAAGGATGACATACAGTTGTGATTTTATTTCCATTATCTTCTTTGAACTAAAAACAAAATGAAGTAAATGTGCTGAGGCTAATTAAAAGTAGAATGGACACTTTGAACTCATAGATTGTTAGTTTCAGATGTCCTCAGAGATGACTTTAATATGATTTCTCTTCTAATGCTGAAACCCCTTTACAATGTCCCTGATTGTTATGTATTGCACATCAGAAGGGAAATGACTAGTCGTTAGAAAATACTTTCTAATATTGACCCAAGATTTCTCTTTTAGCCACTTTCACTTGCCTGCTTTCAATTCTTCCCTAAGATGTCTTAAGGCATCTTTAGTATATCAGTTTTATAATATTAGAAGAGAGTTTAAAAACCAATAATTTCCTACTTTTTAATAAACCAACTTTATTTTTGGTATTTTAATGCTTTCCGATTTCTACTTATCCTGGCTACTCTCACTGAGGAGCTCAATTTCTCAACATCTTTTTGTACCTAGAAGAAAAACTTTTACATAATTTTATTCAAATTTTCTTAAAAGCCTTACTGAGTATTTAAAATTTTTAAATGACATTTAATTATCTGGGCATTTATTCAATCCACCATGGAATAGTAGTTTAAATACATGGATCTCTCCCCATAAATTCCAGCAACTAAAAGAAACACAGAGGATAACTGAGAAGCATATATATATATATAAATATATAAAATATATATTATATATTATATATAACAAATCAAAATTATTTAATATGCAGCTGTGTATTATTTTATCCTCTACAAAATGTTATTTGAAAAAGTTAAATATGTATGACAATATCCTAGTCTTGACCCTAACCAAACTGAAAATCCTATTAGAAAAAAATTCCACTAGCTCAGTGTACTAAAGATTTAAAAAATGAAAGTCTCTGGAAATATAAATTGAAAGTGATTGCATTGTTTTATTCACAATAACTAAACTTAACTTGGAAACAAATAAAAATTAAGAAGAAATATAAAATCTTTTATAATTATGGTTTAATTAAGTAGAATACAAAAATCGGAAAGAGTAGCAATATTCAACCTTTAGGTACTTTATAGTCAGTGTCTAACTCATATATACATACTTTTTAAAAACGAGGTATCTATCATGAAGTATAATAAAAACTCATCCCAGAGAAACAAAGGATAGGCTTTAAAAAGGCAATTCTTTCTGCTGCTGCAGCTAAAGCTAAAATTGCCCTGCAGGAAATTTTGATTCTCTGGCACATTTAAGTATTTCTCATTTACAAAAGTGAAGTAAGGCAAAAGAACCTGAGGAAAAGCCTCTTTGTTGCATTTTTGTTCACAGCAGTTCCCACAAAAGATCAAATTTTAATGGAAGAAGATTTAATAGATGTTTAGATGATGAGGCAAAAAAATACAACTGCTCCTGCAACTAGTTCTTTTGAAAATGGAGAATCTAAATAATTACTCTTGAGAAATCAGCTTACATGTCTATATCATAGCTTTCCAATTATATATGAATGAATAAAATTGCTGGAGGACATATTTTTTCCCCTCCTTCTCAAAATTGGGTGATAATCTGTTAAAGTCATTGCTAAATGTACCTTCAGATTTGTGGTGTTCTGCTTCTCAACAACCTACTTTAGCTCTTATAAATGCAAGAACATACCCCACATTAATCCTTTCTGCTTAGCCTCTCAGCAGGATAAATTTAAAGCCATCTCAATGGCCCCAAGCAATATTTTTAAAAAGAAGTAAAGAAAAATCCTAATAGGTCATCCCGATCATTCTGATGTCAGAAAAGTAACAATGCTAAATACAACCTTCACTGTTTTATTTCAGACTCATTTTCAAATTCCAAAGTAATAGAGTTTTAATAACAGGAAGATACATTAATGAGGAAAAATGTATACAGTTACGCAAAAGTAGCTCAGTGTGAATTTGCTTGTTATGATACTAAATTTGAGTTACTCATCATACCATCTATACTAAAAGCATGGGTTTGTTCTTAAAATTGATGCATTTGATAAGATGAAATATTCAGATTTATTGTAAATAACAACAGTTATTTAAAATTATGTAAAAGAAATTAACTATACCACAAATAATATAAGAAAATAATTAGTTGAAATTATGTTAATTTTGTCAAAATAAAATGGAAATGTACTTTCAAATATAATTTTGTTAGCAGACCCATAAAATCTATTTTTATTACAATGGACACATACATTAATGTATAAATTATAGGGAAACTTGTATAACCTATATATATATTCTTTACAAATACATGGCATAGATAAACTTAGCTCTTTCTAGATAAAACCTAAAGATATAATAGAGGACTTTACTGTAAATGTATGCTTATAGAGCTTCAAAATTACTAGAAAATTTGAAGTACCAGGTTTTACATATTCTGTTAGAAATTTATTTTTTAAACCATTAGTTCTGGTTCTTTGTGTGGTGTTTGCATGGATATGAGGCTGAGATAATGTATATATTACGAAAAAGAAACAATGCCTGTTCTTTCATACATATAGTCATGGGAAATACGTGATATGATGATTGGAGTTTTTTTGGGGGAGATGCCAACATTTTTTTCCGTTCAAAAGACATAAAGTTTACAGCTGTAAAAGACAGAAGTACACTGTTGTATTTTTTTTAACTTAACATTCTATTTAAATCAAGGGTTATTTTAAACTGATGACAGATTTTCTTAATAACTCATAGAAGAGACCTATAGGTGTTTCCATGAATGAGATAGCATTTTTAAATGTTAAGAATTTTAAAAAATCAATGATGAAGAAAAAGTCTTGATAGTAGAATGTGGATGGAATAGTAGAATGTGCATGGAATAGTAGAATGTGGATGGGATAGTAGAATGTGGAAGGTATCCAAGTTCAAGTGTTAGATATGTTATTATGACCACGCCTTTGAAATTAATTAATCATAATCATTTACTAGCTCTGTGAAATTGCACAGTCCGTATGATAAGAAGCAAAAAATTATCAAACTAAATAATCTATATTATCAATTGGAGATGGTGAAAGGGTGAGCATTAGCAATGTTTTATCAAAATGATTTTATCATCTAATTTTTTCTTCAATGCAACATATAAAATGCATACATATTCTGATCACAATACAAGAATGTTTGTGTCCTGGTTCCCAGTAAGATGAAGTAAGCATATTTTACCTAATTTCTCCCACAGAACACAGAACACAAACATTGAACCTGCTGAGCCTGTATGAAGCTACTATCCCAGGACTGTGAAAAGTAGACTAGTTGAGGAAGAATTCAAGTCGACACTGAACTAGTGGTAAGTTACCAACAATTTGTCCCTGTTTTCAGGGCCAGGACACTACGCAGACATATTTGTGGTTTACACAAAAGTGAGAATTCATGTTCAAAGGAAGAGAACACCACGAAAAGCTTTTGTCTGATTCAAGGAGCTGAAAAGTGAACTCAGGATCACAGAGTGGAGGGATTCACGGAGATTACAACAACGTATTACAAGAGTTGGAACTCTTATAGGTGAATATTCCTTTCTTAGTGGTAAGGCAGTGGTCCCAAGAGGCTGGAACAAACCACTATTGCTCTTAGACCTCTCTCTCTCTTTCTCTATCTCTCTCTCTCTCTCTCTTTCTCTCTCTCTCTCTTTCTCTCTCTCTCCCCTTCTAAAACTTAAAGATTGAGATAGGTATAGTCATCGAAGTGTGCCAGAGATTCTGGTAAGTAAAGCCAAACTTTCTAGATAAAGAAGCAGAAAGAAGAGCCCCAGAGAACCAGAAAGCTCTAGGAAGATTACAAGGCATCAGTGGGTGGGAAAGTGACCCTCTAAAGTTTTCCATGAACTCCTAGGCTCACTCTTGAGCAGAAGCAAAACAAAATGAAACAGAAAACCTCAAAAAATAAATGAAACATATAAAGGAGAATTAAGTGGAAATGTTAACGGACACAACATAAAACAGACTTACTGAAAAATGCACTAGATGAGCTTAACAGCAGGATGAAAATGACAGAAGAGACATTGAACGTCAAGTTAAATCGACAGACATTATCCAATCTGAACAACAGAGATGGAGAAGGTGCAAAAAAGAAGAAGCAATCCTCAGGGACCTGTAAGAAATTAACACCATGATAAATATTTATGTAATAGGAGTTCCAGAAGGAAAGGAGAAAGAAGGTGGTGCTGAAAATATTTACAAGATTAATGGCTGAAAGTTTCCTAGATTTGGCAAAAAACTTAAATCTATAAATTCAAGAAAGTCAGAGAATCTTAAATAACATTAATTCAAATAATGCCATGATTAACTACATAATAACAAAACTGTGCCAGACTAAGAAAAAGAAAAAATTCTGAATGTAGCCAGAGCAAAATGACACATAACCTGCAAGGGAGCAAAAATTTGTAGGACATCAGAGTCCTAATAAAAATATTAATAATAAAGAAAAAGGGACATACTATTTTTAAAGTGGTGAAAGAAAATTCTAGTTCTATTGGATATATAATTTAGAAATGAATATGAAATAAAGACATTTTCAGACGAAGAAAATGTGAGAAAACTTATTATCTGCAAATCTGCTATAAAAGGATTGCTATTAAAATAAATTATTCAGACTGAATGGAAATAATGCCAGTGAGAGACTTGGAGCCTTTGCAGTGAAGTAAGAACAACTAACATGGGCAGATATACTAATTTACCTTTTGAGTTTTTATAACACACTTGATGATTGAAAGCAAAAATTATAGCACTGCCTAACTTGATTTTCACTGGATGTAGATGAAATATATTATAAAACTAATTAGATATACAGGGACTGATATGGTAAATGTTGGTTGCACACAGAGTGTGAAATTTGAGTACATATGTTGCAATCTCCAAAGCAACTACTAAAAGAAACTGGTATTGAGATAAAATCAAAATTATATATCTTAAAATGCATTACTAAAAAATGTTCAAATGACCCAAAGGAAACACAATGTAAATCAGAGGGAACAAAGGAAAACAAATAAGGAAATTATAGAAGTAATTCCAAATGTTTCAATGATTGGAATAATGTAAATGATATAAATGTAAATGACCTAAATACACCAATAAAAAGATAGAAATTGCCAAAAGGGATAAACAATTATTCAACTATATGCTGTCTTAATAATTGATTTCAAACAATTATATATTTTTAAAGTAAAAAAGATAATTAGTGTTTGTATGTTAAGCAAACACTGTATATTAATACAGTATCTCTCATTGCCTAAAAAAGGCAGAGAATGAGCCAGTCCTTACCTGACTTCAAAATCACTTTACCTTCATTGCAGATAGCATGTGCTTATCAAATTCATTTTATCAAATTACTTAAGAATATCAACAAAGGTATTGTTCACTATGTCCTCCTCAGCAGAGAAGAATTGCTGTAAGTCAGGGAAAGTCTGATGTTTCTATGTGAAAACTTCAACCAATTCTATCTTTAATATGACCAGTAAAATAGGCAGCTCTACCTTTTAGAAAATGTTCATTTGCTATTAGATCCAGAAGCTTCTTAAAAGAATCATAAGAGGACATTAATAAAGTCAATGTTAATGCTATGCATTATTATTATTATTATTAGACAGAATTTCGCTCTTGTTGCCCAGGCTGGAGTGCAATGGCGCAAGCTCGACTCGACTCAACCTCTGTCTCCTGGGTTTAACTGATTCTCCTGCCTCAGCCTCCCGAGTAGTTGGAATTACACGCATGTGCCACCACACCCAGCTAATTTTGTATTTTTAGTGGAGATGGGATTTCTCCATGTTGGTCAGGCTGGTCTCGAACTCCCGACCTCAGGTAATCCGCCACCTCAGCCTCCCAAAGTGCCGGATTACAGGTGTGAGCCACTGTGCCCAGCTGCATTATTTTTATTATATATATATTTTTAGATGGAGTCTCACTCTGTTGCCCAGGTTGGAGTGCAAAGCCGTGATCTCAGTTCACTGCAACCTCCGCCTCCCAGGTTCAAGTGATTCTCGTGCCTCAGCCTCCCAAGAAGCTAGGATTACAGGCACCCGTCACCATGCCCAACTAATTTTTGTATTTTTAGTAGAGGCGGGATTTCACCGTGTTGACCAGGCTTGTCTCGACCTCCTGACCTCAGGTGTTCCGCCCGCCTCAGCCTCCCAAAGTTCTGGGATTATGGGGTGAGCCAACTCGCCTAGCCGCTATGCACTATTTTAAGCTGAGCTTTTCTCCTATTCCTAGATCAACTGCATTATCCGTCGTAACTCTTAGTCATTTTAGTAAAATGCATAGTACATTTAAGAATTCAAAAAATATGTATTGAGTTATTTTTGAGTTAGATATTGAAGATAAGTAGAAAACAAAACAGATAAACCCCCTTCCCTTATGAGGTGTTTATCTACTGAAATAACTGTTGGTATATCTCAAAGAAAATGATGTCAACACTAGCAAAATCACTGAAGTATTAATTTTGCCATTTCCTACCCAATATCAAGTAATACCTATTTTTAAATTATAAGTTACTGTCGAAAAAATTATTAAAAATTTTTATGAAAGTCAACATTTCTAAATGTAATCATCTTCTGTTTTTTTTTTCTTTAATAGAAGCTCTGTAGGAAATCCCAAGTCAAAGTATCATTGGCCAAATATTACTTATTGGAAAACTCACATAACTCTAGCAAAAGCAAGAGGATAGATTATCCTCAGCATCAAATTCTAGGTGCTTCACCGTGAAATCTCTTTCACTTCATCTTTTGTCAGTATTTCCCATTCCTTATTGGCTTCTTTCTCCCAAGCAAGTTTCCAACACATGCCAGGAAACAATGCCAGTGGTAAAAACTGAGCATGCTTCTACCCAGAGAAACATGGAGCCCCACTATTAGTTTTGGAAAATTGTTTAGTGTAACTTTGGTGAAATCAAAATCCCTAGATCAATCAATAGATCAGTCAAGGTGATAAGAATTTAAAAAGTGGTAATTATTACATAATTCGTAATTGCACATGCAAAATCAATGTGTCTTTGAAGGAAAGCTGCTGGGCAAGGAAAGCAATACGTGTCTCCAGTATTTGTCTGAACCCCAGGTTAGTTACGCTTTCCATCCATATAGCTTCATTTTGGACTTTATTCTTTGTAATAGCTGACCCTTTATAAGAATACCTAAAGTCAGTTTATAAAATTTATCTAAACTGTACTTCTCAAGCACCTCACATTTGCCTAATTCCAAAGGACAGAGGGATATCAAACCTCTAGCTCTGCACTCTTATATTTCAAGTCGATGAAGAAAATGATTGCTTCAAAGAATATCATTCTCTAATATTTATTATTCTATTTTAGAAAACAAAATCATCTTAGTTTCATACTAAATCTAATCTGTCCATGCAAGCTGACTAGAGCTTATGAAAAAAATTGAAAATCAGATAACAGAAATCATCCACCAGGAAATTAATTATGATCCTTTCCTATGCCTGTATTTTCTGCAATGACTTCTTTAATGGCAACTTCTCCCCGTTAATTGACCTTCTGAATATTTGAAATCATTTAATTTCCATTTCCTTCTCTAACAATTTCATGCAGGAATTACAATGCAGAGATGAGCTCTTCCAGGGACAGAATAAATTTTCTATTTTGACCAGGGCACTCCAAATTTAGGACAGGTCACCGTTAACATCCCAGCTTTTATCTGATTCCCATTTCATGCTATTCTGTCTGCATTGCTTGAGTCTCTGGAGAAGCTTAAGAAATTTTTGGAATGCATTCTACCGGGTGTCTTTCTTCATTCTCCTTCTTTCTTTTTCCTCCTGAATTATTTAGTCCATAAATTGAGGCTTTTGAAAAGGCTCCCCTCTTGTTCGAACATTTCTACCAGCTGGAGAATCATCATCAACAGATTTCTGAACTGAAGCTGCTTCCTTGATGTGTCCAATTTTTGTAACCTTATGCACCCAGTAAGAAACTACATGTACTTAGCCAGGTGGTCCTCCCCAAAGCATCGCCTTCCTTCAGCATTTCAGCTTCCAAGGACTTAAATAACTTGCACTACATCAGTGACTGCAAAAACATTCCAAATTTGCTACCTCCTTCACTATAGCAAGAACATATCCTTTTAATCTTTCTTTAATGTTTAATTTTCCTCTGTTGTTCCTCTAATCCTTTGAAGTAGACACAGCTGTTAAAGATATTTTTAACTTAATTCTCAATTTATCCTTAGTCTACCTCTGCCACGTTTTGCTGGATCAGAGTATCTTCCTCTCTATTTGCTACAGGCCAATACATTGATTTTTCTAACAAAGTATTGCTTTGTGGAGTTGAGAGATGGGAGTTGGCAATTTCAGAGATTTTGACTGCATATTCCCATTAAGTTAGCTCTCACTGCACATGCAGGGATGCAATGTAGAAATTATTCCAATTATCATGTCTATAAATCCTACTTATAGACGATAGGTAGGGGGAATATTATCAGTGGATCTGTAACCCACTGTAAAGCATGGTGTCATTTATTACTTGTTCCTCATAAACCCCCACTCTCACAGGAAGCTCATGGTGATACATGGGTGTCTGGGTATTCATGTCATATCAGAACTTTGTGTTCAACAGTTTTCAAAATTTCTACTCATTCTCCTTTCCTCATCGTACAGTCAACTGACTAAATGGCCATAGGTTCTTTTGGAGAAGAACTGGGGGAATAAGTGTGGATAAGCTTACCATGCAGTTGCAGAATACTTCCTACTAAGCATTCAGACTCCTCTTCAGTCAATGGATTTCACAAGTGAAAACTAATTAAGGTCTGGGAACTGAGAATGTGGCATTTTGGTTGAGGTAACCACTCTCACACCTACATGTGCATCATTGTTGAAGATCCCAAGGGATACCATTATCTATTAACCATCGACACAATTCCCAGCTGGCAGTCTCCTTGCCTGCCCTTCCAAATTTGTTATGTATTACAGTAATTGCAGCCTTCTGGCTCCTGGTAATTAAGTACTGTCAACTGGCCTCTATTAGTGTGGGGTCACATGGATGTTGATGAACTCAGCACTGTAATCACTACTCCTAATGTTTTACCTAGCCGGCAATGAAGAGACATTGCTTGGCTTCCTGTAGCAATGCTGGCATTGCTACACCAACACATTCCTAAAATGCAATTCTCTGGCAGCGAGGTGAGGAAAATAGCCAGAAGATTGTGTTCCACTGGGAAGACAAAAAGAACACACCACTTCCCAAGGATATGAGGAATGCCAGCATGCACATTTCCATCAGCCTCTGTCTTCTTTGGTCTACTGGGAGACAGGACATAATTACACACTTCATGTAAATATAAAAATAATTACCTATTTCTGTCAGCTCACATCCTTAATCAAGCAGCCTCGATATTCAGTATCTGTGATACTCCCATGGTTGACTGTAATATGTCAGTCATGAGTATTTAAATACTCACTAATTCTGTACCTCTAAATACTTGATACTTTATTTTCTGCTCAGCTATGTTTATCTTACAACTACAGGAGATAAAGTACTACTCATAAGCTGCAACATAGGCACTTTGACTCTCAAAATTTATCTGATATTAATCACCTTAAGTCTCTCATCCCTCTGCAGAATGTCAGAAATAACCAGCCATCAATGCTATGGTCCATAATTTTCTAGTACCTGGAGCATTGCCCCTGCAAGCGTAACTCTCGCATGTGTAACATTTCCCAGGGCACCTCAGTGAAGTATTTAGTAAACCTCCACTGCCACACTATATATGCCATACATACAACTCTGGATATCATCATGTCGGCTAACCATGTGATGAGTAAGCGATTTCAGAATGCAGCCTCTTTGCTTCAGATCACTGCTGGAACCACATGCTTTAGTTTGAGTCCTCCAAGAAGCAAAGAAAATAGCATTAAACGTGCAAGAGATTTATTAGGCAAGAGAGAATGGGTGGGAGCCTAAAAAGTTCAGGAAAGTCATCACACCATGAGGCAGGGCTGACTCAGTGAGAAACGTCGGATAGAAAAAAAAGAAATCTTATCGACAGTGGTACAGTACCAACAAAGATATAGCAAGAACAGTGATAAGTTTTCAAGCCTAAGTCATCTGTTGTAAACTAAACTGAAAACTAAATAAAATCCTAAGTCCCCCAACCAACTGAATGGATCCACTCTTGGCCAAGGGGACCCTAAAGAAACCTTAAAACTTGAGTTCCGGGCCGGGCGCGGTGCCTCACGCCTGTAATCCCAGCATGTTGGGAGGCTGAGGCTGGCAGATCATGAGGTCAGGAGATTGAGACCATCCTGGCTAACACGGTGAAGCCTTGTCTCTACAAAAATAAAAAATAAAAAAATTAGCCTGGCGTGGTGGCGGGCGCCTGTAGTCCCAGCTACTCGGGAGGCTGAGGCAGGAGAATGGCATGAACCCGGGAGGCAGAGCTTGCAGTGAGCCGAGATCGCGCCACAGCCTGGGTGACAGAGCGAGACTACGTCTCAAAAAAAAAAAAAAAAAAAAAAAAAAAATTGAGTTCCCAGCCAGGATGGGATGGGAAGCCTGACACATCTTGTTACAGCCCCTACCTTTTTTGTTTAGATGCAACAACTGACCAGCATTAATGTTACAATAGAGGTCATAAGACTAACGGAACAAACCATCTGCGGCAATAAGATATCAAATTATAAACAGGACCTGAGGTCATGCCAAGCAAGGGTTAAGCCATACACCCCGTACGCTTAAAGAACAAACTATGCTCTAATTACCACAAGGCTTTTCTTTTTCTCTGGCAGCTAAACAAGCACTAGCCTTGAGATAAAACAAAATTCAAACAACTGAAGCTCATTACCAGTCACTGACTATCTGACCCTTTGTTCCACAAACCATAACTACAGCTTGGATTGGACAAGAGACTGATTTCTATAACTCTCCTTAGAAGAGGCCACTAACCATGAACTGTTTCTGGCCAGTTTCACAGGGCTGCACATTACCGTGCCTTCCTGTCCCTGCTTCACCTTTTGACATGTAGGATCTAATTGCGATGCCTTCAAATGTTTTCATGGCCGGGCGCCGTGGCTCACGCCTGTAATCCCAGCACTTTTGGGAGGCCGAGCTGGGCGGGATTGCTTGAGCTCAGGAATTCGAGATCAGCCTGGGCAACACTGTGAATCCCCGTCTCTACTAAAAATACAGAAATTACCCGGGAGTGGTGGCACGCGCCTGTGGTCTCAGCTAGCTACTCGGGAGGGTGAGGCAGGAGAATGGCTTGAACCTGGGAGGCGGAGCTTGCAGTGGGCCGAGATCAAGCCACTACCCTCCAGCCTGGGTGACAGTGAGACTCCGTCTTAAAAAAAAAAAATTTTCATATGTTACATACGACTCAGTGAACATGAGTTATATGTAACATGCATGGTTATTTGGTATGCATGTGTTAGAACCACTTTTATAAATAATCAGAAATCCCCCTTAACCTACTGAATATGTATACGTGGCCAACCCATTCAGCATAAATCCCTGTTTCACTCTCCTCTCCCTTGAAGTGCCTGCTAATCTCCTCTGCTGGAGGCTAATATTCCCAGCCTGTCGGAAGGGCAATCTTGAAGATTGTGATGCTTTACAAGAAATAAATAGAAAAGAAATAATTCTCCTTTCCAACTTTATGAAGACCTCTGGATTTTTCAGCTGATAACGTGTGTTATATCTCCCAGGAATGAGATATCTTCACTAACCCTAACAGGGACACTCAGTCCTTGCTGAGAGGATCCTATTGAAAGTATGACCGTGCTGAGTGTGCTGTAATGGACTTCGGGGCACAGCAACTGTGTCCAATGCTCAATTATGTTTCCTGCAGTCAGATATCTGATAGGCACATTTTCACGACAATGATTCCTATTTCCTGACGAGGTTTCATTAGCATGCAACCTCTGCAGTTTCATAAGGTCCCAAGCTGAAGAGACTTTACACTTCATTTAATGCTTCTTAAATTTCTTAATGATTTTAAAAGAAGGAGCCCCACCTTAGGCTCTAGAAATTATATAATTAGTCTTATGTGTTATTGTAACTATAATTAACATTCTAAGAAAACTTGGTCATTTTCACCTAGAGTAGTGTATTTTTGAATAAGAAGTAATTTTCACTTATCAGTCTAACATGTATCTCAACTGATATTTGGTCTATTATGACTTGCAATTACTCTGTTATTGTTTCTCATACGCTCCAACTCTAAAATCCTCCTAGATTTGTTTTCTCATATAAAATATAGTTTTTGTTATCACCCATGCAAATGTTACTTACATTCCAACAGTCTCATGATTCTATAGTGAATTTTACCTTCATTCAAACATCAAATTTGTGTAAAGCACATAATTAGTCCAGCTTTTTAGAATATTATACTCAATAGAATTTACTTTTGACTCCCTTTTGTGTATTTTAGGGAATACCTTTCCAAAATTTGCCATTACCTTCGATTATCTGGGCATTTCATTCAAGTTTGATTTCTGAGTTTATTCCTTTTGTATTTTGATATATGTTTGGCACAGACCTCAAGATATAACAAAATATAATTTATAATCACCTAGATTATGGCTTAAAAGTAACTAACTGTATTAGTTTTTTCTTTTGTATAAAGTTCTAACATTGCCTGGTCATCATAAAATAGTGCCTTTTTCAGAACAATGATTATTTTTTTTCTTCAAGTTGGTTTCGCATTGCTTTTCTTCAGACCATTTCTAATATAATTTTATTACAATGTAAGTTTTCCTTTTCATGTTTAATGTTTAGTATTCCCTTTGAAAAGCTTGATTAATGTTTTTCTATTTCAAATTCTTGTTCTTAAGTCTTTTCATCTTGTCATTGTGTTTTTTATTCAGTTCATAAAGCCAAAATTTTTAAAATTCTTTCTCCTTGTATTTTACAAGAATATTATTAAAGCTGGTCCCTCATTCTAACTTCCAAATATAATAATTTATCTTGATAATAAAGGCCTCCTTTTTATACACATTGGCTAAAAGGCTGCCTTGTAAGCTTTTACCGAATCCAGAGTTTGAGTCATTTAAATTTATAGTCATATGCAAGACTTACTCTATGAACTAACTAGAGGTGATTTGAAAACAAGTAGCGAAAGTTAACTGTGAGGTTGCTGTCAAACCCCTGTGAAAAGTTGGGTACTACGGTCTGAAGTCCACAGGCTCTGTCATCTGGAGAACAGCTGGAGTGACCTCTTGCCAGGAGAAACCTGAGTGTGAGAATCTACATGAACATGTTCCCCCAGTCAACCCTGTGTTTGTGGAAACCATTGCCTATAGAAAATGCTGCATCAGTGGTGTAGCTTTGGTCAATGTTGCAAAGCTTCTATCCACTGTGTTGAGGACAGTTCCCATCATTTTGCAGTGTTTTGACAAAAACATCAACAAAAAATGCTTTTACATGGTAGGCTGCATGATACACATTGATGAAAAATCAGGACAAATACAGTCCCAGCTGTCTGTATATTTTGAAATAGGGTGAGAGAAAAACCTTATATGTTTAGAGGCCTTTGGTCTTGCTCATGTTAACGCCTGTTTATTGGCCATTGTGCACACATCGCCTAAAGTGGATGTAGTCTCAATAACTATTAAGCTTTGCCAACAGCCCATATTTATTTGGTGTGATATTTACTCTCTTCCCAAAGCTTATTTTAACATTTTCAGGAAGCTTGTGCCATGTTTTCAAAAGGAAGTGATTAAACTGGTCTATTTGTACTTGCTTTAATCTAGTCTCATTTGCAATGGATACAGTTAAAATTGCATATTGAATTTTGTCATGGGGATTTTATAATTTCAAAAATTCAAAGGACCTAAATATCTTCTATACTTAATTTCTTTGGTCATTTTTGTTAGCTAACTGATGGTGGGAAGAGTAAAATATAGCTCATAAACAAGCATATGTTTTGGAAGTGTGGGGTTCAAATGGTCATTAGAGAAACATTTTTGAATGTGGTCAAAATGAGCACTAGTATAAAATCAATGAGTTCTTAATAAATAATATTTTATTTTATCTATTCATGATTATAAATGCATAATTAGCCACTGCAAATGCTAATAGGCATGTATAAAGAGCTTTTAATTCCCTTTTCAAGTTAACAATTGAAACTGCTAGTGAAATCAAAGATCAGAAGATATATGGATGTATTGGCAGATCTATTCTACTCTATTAATGCCAAATGTCTGGATTGATTATAAATTCTTATGTCCTCAAAAGGTCTGTTAATACTTACTTCTAAAGATGAAACATACATGTAACTGTGTTTTATTTTCTTTATTATTTTGAATTTTGTTTTTTATCTTTGAATTTCTACTTTATGAATTTTATGATTAATATGCATAGGTATAGAAGTTAAATTATATTGTATAATTTAAAAGTTCTCATGAAAGTGAAATAATTCCAGTAAGATACACTAAAATGTTCAAATTTATAATTCAGGATGAAATAAGAAATCATTATAATGGGTAATTTGGAAGAACATGAAATAGGTAATGCACTGATAATGAAAAAGATTTAAAAAAAGTTTGAGTAATCAAGAGCTAAGCTATATTGAAGATAAAATAAGTTTTTTTTTCTATTGACAGAGGATAATTTGCATATTGGAATCAAAAGAAAAAGTTCCCTGAAAAATCATGATTCTTATAGTAATGACTATAATTCTTATAATACTTTCGATTTACATGACATTTCTAATTAAGATGACCTTCATGATACATATAAAACAGCATCTAGAATATATCAGCAATTATCGTATAATAAGCACTTAATAAATGTTAGGAATAGAAGGCTTTACCAATTCATTTTTTAGCAGGAAGTGAAATTCAACTCAATCCTTTTTTTAAGAAAAAATAGCAATAATTTTGTCTGCATCTGGGGAATCACAGGATATAGTTGCTTTATGCACTACTAGATCTATTGCCCTTTTGAATAAGTCATTAGTAAATCTGATTTTTCTCCACTTTTCAACTAGGTTCCTTTCACATCCACTAAAGTATATTATAGTCATATTGTTAGGGGTAGGTCTCCAAGTTACTGACGGTGAATCTGTAGGGGTCTGCAGAAACCTCAATTCATGCCTCCTCAGAAAAAATAATTCAATTGAAGGGAATAAGACAGAAAAAGAGACCAAGGCAAGTTTCAGAGCAGGAGTAGAAGTTTATTAAAAAACTTTAGAACAGAAAAAAAAAAAAGAAACTACACTTGGAAGAGACCCAAGTGGGCAACTTGATGGACAAGTGTGGCGTTTAACCTTGATTCTAGAACTATACATGCTTGCTCACCTCCAGTGGCTTGCTCCCCTTTCCCTTCATTTTTCCCTAAGGGCAAGCCACCCACATGCACAGTGCTCTCCTTACACTTGGGAGGTGAGCACGCACAGTGCGTTTAGGAAGTTGTACACATGGCCATGTGAGGTTTTCTTCCCTTTTCTGGTGGAATGCCTCCAGAAGACCATACTCCGTCATTTTGTCTCTTAATCTGCATGCCTGGGCTCACTCGCCCAATTCCTGAAATTTTATTGGAAGCAGATTCATTACTAATCTCAAGTATTTTTATCTGTTTGGAAAGTTGCCCCTACCTGGTGCCTATAATCAATTAACACTTTAGTGTGACATGTGTGGACCATTAGAAAATGGCCTCTCCCTGGCACTGGCTGCCAAATTATTTTTAGTGAAGCAGTGTGATAACCGCAGAACCATCACCTGATGGTCACCTGACATTCGTGGTGGGTGGAGGAAGGGAGAGGCCTCTCCTGCCTCGCTCATGCCTGTCTAACTACCTGTAACTACAATATTGCATTAGGACATTCTCGCATGGCTATAAAGGCATACTTGAGACTGAGTAACATATAAAGAAAAGAGGTTTAATTGGCTCACAGTTCTGCAGGCTGTACAGAAAGCATGGTGCTGGCATGTGCTTGGCTTCTGAGGAGCCCTGGGGGAGTTTTTATTGATGGCTGAAGGTGAATTAGGAGCAGGCACATCACAGGGCTTGAGTGAGAGCAAGTGGGTTGGGGGCAGGTGCAACACACTTTTAAACAACTAGATCTCATGCAAACTCACTTGCTATCCTGGGGATAGCACCAAGGCGATAGTGCTAAATCATTCATGAGAAATCCATCCCCATGATCCAATCACCTCCTACCCAGCCCCACCTCTAACATTGGGGATTACATTTCAACATGAGATTTGGAGGGACAAATACCAAAATACATGAAATATGAATTTAAAAAGTGGAGGATTTGATTCAATGAACAACCACCCACAGCTTTGTTTAAAAGTATTTACAGAAAGAGTTGTTTTTGTAAAACAACATATTAAAATAGCATAAATTTAGGATATCTTTAAATAAAAGTTGATTAATTACTTTAAATAGGTAATATTGAGAGAATGAAAAGTCAGTATGCAGTGAACTAGAAGCAACAACTATATTACACTGAGGTATTCCCTAGAATAAAATACGAAGAATTAAAATAGAAATCACATTTTGCAAAAGTATATGGCCTAATTTTCTTTTAAGATGGGCTGAAATCTTCCTGGGGAGGGAATAGATCTGTGATTTTTATTGTTTTTGATTTGATGAGTTAGAGTTTATAGGAAAATAAGAGCAGTGTGAAGTTTTTTAAAGGAGGATCAGAAACTGAACATAAAAGAGAAGTACCAGGGAAGCATAGAATTGTTAAGACATGGCATATCCGTTAGCATAATAAGGGGAATAAAGAGTAAAGAATGTTGTAGTTACTTTATTTGAATATAAATATGTTGTTTTTTGTGCCTGCTAAAGTGACAGAAAAATAATGAACAAAAATACATCAAGTACTGTGGCTTGTAAAACCTTTGTTAAATAAGATAGCCTTCCAAAATCCTCTACAATGCTACTTTATTTCCCATGCCTACAAAAGGATCTTTGCTGTCTGTTACTGGGTTCAAAATGTTCCTTCTTCTTAGCATGATATTCTTAAATTAATATGTGATAATTTATGTAAAACAATTTTAGTTTTTGCATAGGCATCAAGAGTGTTCATTTTCATAATATGAGATGATACATAATTTTTAAATCTTAAGCTTACTTATACAGTGGTCCTACAATGAAATTCTCCAGCTTCAAATTCATTCATAGCCGCACTTTTTCCTTGGATCTGAAATGTTCTGAAAGTAATTTAATTGTCTCTCTCCACTACTTAGTGAATCATATTAGTGACTAAAGATCTCTGAATAAAGGTGAAAAAGGCACTCATAAGTACTGAGTCAACATGAGGAAAGTATTATGTCATTATGATAATAACACAATATATTTGTACAGAGCTTTATAGTTTATGAGGTGCTTTTATGTGCTTTAAATCATTTGATCTGTAAAATAACTCTGAATAAGTAAGGGTATTTTTTATTGCACATTACAGACATATCAGCCTAAAGTAGTGTAAGAATTTAGAGAAATTTGGTGGCTGGCAAGATGGCCAAATAGGAAGAGTTCCGGTCTGCGGATCCAGCGAGATCAACGCAGAAGGATGGCGATTTCTGCATTTCCAACCAAAGTATCTGGCTCATCTCATTGCGACTGGTTAGATAGTGGGAGTGAAAAAAAGAAAAGACCCATCAATGTGCTGTATTCAAGAGACACAAATCACGTGGAAAGACACACATAGGCTCAAAATAAAGGGATGGAGGAATATTTACCAAGCAAATGGAAAGCAAAAAAAAGCAAGGGTGGAAATCTTAGTCTCTGATAAAACAAACTTTAAACAAAGATCATAAAAGACAAAGAAGGGCATTACATACTGGTAAAGGGATTAATGCAAAAAAAAGAGCTAACTCCTAAATATATATGCACCCAATACAGGATCACTCAGATTCAAATAAACAATGGGGAAATATTCCCTATTTAATAAATGGTGTTGGGAAAACTGGCTAGCCATAAATCAAGTTCTTAGAGACCAACAAAGAGACTTAGACTCCCGCACAATATTTGTGGGAGACTTTAACATCCCACTGTCAATATTAGACAGATCAATGGAACAGAAAATTAACAAGGATATTCAGGACATGAACTTAGCTCTGGACCAAGCAGACCTAATAGACATCTAAAGAACTCTCCACCCCAAATCAACAGAATATACCTTCTTCTCAACACCACATCGCATTTATTCTAAAATTGACCAGACAACTGGAAGTAAAATGCTCCTTAGCAAATGCAAAAGAACGGAAATCATAAGAAACAGTCTCAGACCACAGTGCAATCAAACTAGAACTCAGAATTAAGAAACTCACTCAAAACCTCACAACTACATAGAAAATGAACAACCTGCTCCTGAATGACAACTGGGTAAATAATGAAATTAAGGCAGAAATAAATAAGTTCTTTGAAACCAATGAGAACAAAGACAAAACATACCATAATCTCTGGGACACAGCAAAAACAGTGTTTAGAGGGAAATTTATAGCACCAAATACCCACAGAAGAAAGTGGGAAAGATCTAAAATTGACACCCTAACATCACAATTAAAAGAACTACAGAAGCATCAGCAAACAAATTCAAAAGCTAGCAGAAGACAAGAAATAACTAACATCAGAGCAGAACTGAAGGAGATAGAGACAACACACAAAAACGCTTTAAAAATTAGTGAATCCAGGAGCTGTTTTTTTTGAAAAGATTGACAAAATAGATAGACCGCTAGCCAGACTAATAAAGAAGAAAAGAGAGAAGAATCATATAGACACAATAAAAAATGATAAAAGGGATGTCACCATTGATCCCACAGAAATACAAACTACCATCAGAGAATACTATAAACACCTCCATGTAAATAAGCTAGATAATCTAGAAGAAATGGATAAATTCCTGGACACATACACCCTCCCAAGACTAAACCAGGAAGAAGTCAAATCCCTGAATAGACCAATAACAAGTTCTGAAATTGAGGTAGTATTTAACAGCCTACCAACCAAAAAAATCCCAGGACCAGATTGATTCACAGGCGAATTTTACCAGAGGTACAAAGAGGAGCTAGTACCATTCCTTCTGAAACTATTACAAACAATAGAAAAAGAGAGACTCCTCCCTAACTAATTTTAAGGCCAGCGTCATCCTGATACCAAAATCTGGCAGAGACACAACAAAAAAAGAAAATTTCAGGACAATACCCCTAATGAACATCAATGCAAAAATCCTCAATAAAATACTGGCAAACCAAATCCAGCAGCACATCAAAAAGCTGAGTCCACCACGATCAAGTCGGCTTCATCCCTGGGATGCAAGCCTGGTTCAACATATGCAAATCAATAAATGTAATCTATCACATAAACAGAGCTAATGACAGAAACCACATGATTATCTCAATAGATGAAGAAAAGACCTTAGAAAAAATTCAACACTCCTTCATGCTAAAAACTGTCAATAAACTAGGTATTGATGGAGTGTATCTCAAAATAATATGAGCTATTTATGATAAACCCCACCACCAATATCATACTGAATAGGCTAAAGCTGGAAGCATTCCCTTTAAAAACTGGCACAAGACAAGGATGCCCTCTCTCACCACTCCTATTCAACATAGTACTGGAAGTTCTGGCCAGGGCAATCAGGCAAGAGAAAGAAATAAATGGTATTCAAATAGGAAGAAAAGAAGTCAAATTGTCTCTGTTTGCAGATGACATTATTGTATATTTAGAAAACCCCATCATCTCAGCCCAAATTCTCCTTAAGCTGATAAGCAACTTCAGCAAAGTCTCAGGATACAAAATCAATGTGCAAAAATCACAACCATTCATATACACCAATAACAGACAAACAGAGAGCCAAATCATGAGTGAACTCCCATTCACAATTGCTACAAAGAGAATAAAATACCTAGGAATACAACTTACAAGGGATATGAAGGACCTTTTCAAGGAGAACTACAAACCACTGCTCAAGGAAATAAGAGAGGACACAAACAAATGGAAAAACATTCCATGCTCATGGATAGGAAGAATCAATATTGTGAAAATGGCCATACTGCCCAAAGTAATTTATAGATTCAATGCTATCTTCATCAAGCTACCATTGATTTTCTTCACAGAATTAGAAAAAACTACTTTAAATTTCACATGGAACCAAAAAAAGCCCATATTGCCTAGTCAATTCTAAGCCAAAAGAACAAAGCTGGAGGCATCACGCTACCTGACTTCAAACTATACTACAGGCTACTGTAACCAAAACAGCATGGCAATGGTACTGAAACAGATATGTAGACCAATGGAACAGAACAGAGGCCCCAGAAATAACATCACATATCTACAACCCTCTGATCTTTGACAAATATGACATAAACAAGCAATGGGGAAAGGATTCGCTACTTAATAAATGGTATTGGGAAAACTGAACCTGGACCCCTTCCTTACACCTTGTACAAAAATTAACTAACGATAGATTAAAGACTTAAACATAAGACCTAAAACCATAAAAACCCGAGACGAAAACCTAGGCAATACCATTCAGGACATAGACATGGGCAAAGACTTCATGACTAAAACACAAAAACAATGGCAACAAAAGCCAAAATTGACAAATGGGATCTAATTAAATGAAAGAGTTTCTGCACAGCAAAAGAAACTATCATCAGAGTGAACAGGCAACCTACAGGATGGGAGAAAATTTTTGCAATCTATCCGTCTGACAAAGGGTTAATATCTACAAGGAACTTAAACAAATTTACAAGAAAAAAATAAACAACTCCATCAAAAAGTGGGAAAAGGATATGAACAGAGAGTTCTCAAAAGAAGACATTTATGTGGCCAAAAAACATAAAAAAAAAGCTCATCATCCTTGGTCATTAGAGAAATGCAAACAAAACCACAATGAGATGCCATCTCACACCAGTTAGAATGGCAATCATTAAAAAGTCAGGAAACAACAGATCCTGGAGAGGATGTGGAGAAATAGGAACACTTTACACTGTTGGTGGGAGTGAAAATTAGTTCAACCATTGTGAAAGACAGTGTGGCGATTCCTCAAGGATCTAGAACCAGAAATATCATTTGACCCAGCAATCCCATTACTGGGTGTATACCCAAAGATTATAAATCGTTCTACTATAAAGACACATGTACACGTATGTTTATTGCAGCATTTTTCATAATAGCAGAGACTTGGAACCAACCCAAATGCCCATTGGTGATAGACTGGATAAAGAAAATGTGGCACATATACACCATGGAATACTATGTAGCCATAAACAAGGATGAGTTCATGTCCTTTGCAGGGACATAGATGAGGCTGGAAACCATCATTTTCAGCAAACTAATACAGGAACAGAAAACCAAACACTGCTTTTCTCACTCATAAGTGGGAGCTGAACAATGAGAACACATGGACCCAGCGAGGGGAACATCCCACACTGGGGCCTGTTGCAGGGTGAGGGGCTAGGAGAGGGATAACATCAGGAGAAATACCTAATGTAGATGACGGGTTGATGGGTGCAGCAAACCACCCTGGCACATGTATACCTGTGTAACAAACCTGCACATTCTGCACATGTATCCGAGAACTTAAAGTATATTAAAAAAAAGAATTTAGAAGAATTTATATAAAGGTCTTCATCTGATACTTTGAATGCTGTGGTCAGAAATGACTGAAGAACATACAGACAGCAGCTAAAAAGTACTCTCTCTATCTCTCTCTCTTTCTCTCTATCTGTACCCTGCTTTTTCCTATTCCTGTATTTGCTCTCATCCTCCTGCCCTCCTCTATTTCTACTTATTTTATTCATTCTAGTTTTACACATTTATCAGGTATGCAGTATAGAAAATGTCTCCACTGGTAGACTCAAAGCTTTATGTTTTGGGAACAGACAAAGAAAGACTTCTCTTTCTCAATACCCTTTCGAAAATATTTTGTGAAGCATCCCCTAGACCAGCAGGAAGCTTCTGCAAAAACCATTCAGATGAGTGGAAAATAGGGACAAGTCCATTTCACAGAGGGATAAATGAGTCTTATTCTCTAAGAATATCACAAGGTACATAAGAATATCAAACCAAATTTATAAATAAGGAGCCAGGTAAGGCCCAGAGATCTTAATTTATTTTCAACACATTGTATAAAATTTTATCCAAAATATTTATATAAGACTATGTGATTAAATTAATTTGGAATATTACATATCACATATAAACAGTTATTAAGTGATTGCAAAGTAGATGTATGTTATAATTTTTACAACTAACTTAAAGGACTTACCTAGTCTTAGTTTTTAACTTATAGATAATTGAATGAATAGACAAATATATACATGTATATAACACTAGACATACACATATGTATGTATGTAAATATATGTGTATATATACATATATATAATTTATAGTCATGCGTATATTTCTGTTTGTTATTTGCAACTCTAATGGAAACTAATATGTATTGATTAAAAGATCTAGACTGATATATGTTGAATATGAAAACAACTGGTTGTGGTGGCACAATGCTTTAGTCCTCACTACTTGGAAGACTGAGGTAGGAGTATTGCTTGAGTCCTGGAGTTTGAGACTACAGTGCACTATGATCAGGCTTGTGAATAGCCGTTCTGCTCCAGCTTGGGCAACACAGTGAGACTCTGTCACTAAAAAGAAAATAGGGAATGGAAATTTATAACTTTAAAGTTAACAGTATACTATTTGGTTGTCTAAGTTGATCTGTATCCAAAAGAAAAAAACACCAAAATAAGCCAAATTAGCCATCATGGTGGTAGTGTTACCTAAACACCAGGGGGTTAGTCTGGGTCCTGCTGCTCTCCACACAGAAAGCCAATCACTGACACAATGAGTATTGCCAAACAAGAAGGCTTTATTTGGTGCTGCAGCTGAGGAGATGGGAGATCAGTCTTAAATCCATCTCTTTAACTGATTAAATTAGGGGCTTAGAGCAGAAAAGAAAATGTAACAATATATAGGAGAACAGGAATTCAGGAGGGGTAAGGAATTAATCATAATGAATACGGGGCCTGTCATCTCATTGTGTGTACACTATGATCTGGTGAATTTCAGTTCTTTGATGCTTTTTGAGAGACCTGGGGATCCTTTGCTGAGGAAGGAACTCAGATAAAACAAATTTAAGTTCCAAGCTTAAGAACAGATTCTCAATTTCTATATTTATCAAAAAAAAATGGTCTATGAGACTATTGGGTCAGTTTCATTAAGAGACTTACATACTCTAATAAAAGATGTAATCAGGTGTTCTTTGTTCTGAAGTAACTCTAATTTGCTACATAGTCAATATATTTTTGAATATTTCCTGTATGCCAGTCGCTTATCTACCTGCCTTCCAATTATTCACTCAAATAACATCACATGGTAGTCTTTTTAGTGCTCAAACTTCTCTAAATTTTTGTAAGACAGTATGTTTCTAAATTTATTTCCCATTTAGTTAGTCTTAGAGCCTGTTGTTTTGGCTATCGAAAATATTACAGGTAGTAGAATATCAAATAGTCAAGTCTCCTGTCTTCCAAAAATATTTCTGGTATTTCTCAGATACAATATTTAATACTCATAGTTATTCCATAACAATTAACCATATCTATAGTTGGAATACCTATAGGTAACATCATCTTGCAAATAACAATCATTCATGCAAAACTAATTTGTTGATTTGCTTTAAAAGTGCTACACTTCAAGTAAAGACCTACTTAGATAATACAATAATATTCATTTTATTTTTAATGTCATGTGTCATGTGGAGGGAAAAAACTTTTCACATTTTTTCAAATAATGCCTAGGCACTCTGCTGTATGAAGACACTTATTTGATAATTTTATCTGTTGTCATACTCCAGGTAGGGACACAGATGAACATACATGTACACCCACATATGCATTTTTTTTTGCTTTTCTCAAGTATAATTTTATGTTGTGACCTTTATTTATTTTTTTATTTTTGAGTTGGACTATCACTTTGTCAGCAGGTTGGAGTGCAGTGGTGCGATCTTGGCTCACTGCAACCTCCGCCTCCCAGGTTCAAGTGATTCTTATGCCTCAGCTTTCCAAGTAGCTGGGATTACAGGCATGCACCAACATGCCTGGTTTATTTTTGTATTTTTAGTAGAGACAGGGTTTCGCCGTGTTTGCCTGGTTGGTCTCGAACTCCTGACCTCAAGTGATCGCCCGCCTTAGTCTCCCAAAGTGCTGGGATTACAGGGGTAAGCCACCTCACCCAGCCTTTTACGACTTTTAATTAACTCATTTTCTTGTCAAGTTGTTTAAATAAATCTCATATTCGTAAAAGATTTTTCAGCTTGTAGAGAGAAGACAACTATCAGTGTATTTTACAGAAACAACCATTCTCTGTATGACTTTATATACAAATATGCAAATATTTGATGAAATAAAAGTTGCAGAATTAAAATGTTTAATAATGAATTAGAAGTAATCATATCATAATGGTTGAGGATTCCTAATCCAAATATCTGAAATCAAACATAATCCAAAATTCAAAACTTTATAAGTGTTGACATGACTCCACAGGAGGAAAGTTCCATATTTGACCTAATGTGATGAGTTGTAGTCAAAATTTTGTTTTATAAACAAAGTTATTAAAAATATTATCTATCACGCCTGTAATTCCAGCACTTTGGGAGGCCAAGGTGGGCGGATGACCTGAGATCAAGAGTTTGAGACCAGCCTGACCAACATGGAGAAACCCTGTCTCTACTAAAAATACAAAATTAGCTGGACATGGTGGCACATGCCTGTAATCCCACTACTCGGGAGGCTGAGGCAAGAGAATCGCTTCAACCCGGGAAGCTGAGGTTGCAATGAGCCGAGATCGTGCCACTGCACTCCAGCCTGGGCAACAGGAGCAAAACTTTGTCTCAAAAAAAAAAAAAAAGTATCTAATATTACCTGCAGACTATATGTACAAAGTGTATATGAAACATAAATGAATTTTGTGTTTAAACTTGAGTAGTATTCTATAAGATGTATCATTATGTATACACAAAAATTCCAAAATCCCAAAAATCCAAAACTCTAAAACACTTCTTGTCCCAAGCATGTCAGATAAGGGATACTCAACCTGTACTACCACATTTTAGACTTCTTTCAAACAAAGCACTTAATAACAATTGTTTTAAAATAGAACACTGAGATTATGGCAAGTAGAATTAAAGATGTATATTGATAAGTGACTGTTTGAGAAATGTATTTATTTTTATAATTTTGCTTAATGTCAACTGTATTCTATTTATGTAGGTAGAGCTCTCATCATACAGATCGTTGGAAAGTAGCATCCCGACAGTTCTGAGAGAAAAAAAGTGAGTATGCATAAACACAAACACATACACACACACACACGCACAGTTTCTTTTTTGCCATTATTACGGGCTAGCTATTTACTTTGCATTGTCATTTTCTGACTTCTCTTGGACTTCTGAGCTTCAGATACCTGATCAACATTGTGTAAAGGAGACAAGAAGAAAAGAAATTGATTTGTGCTGGCCGGGTACGGTGGCTCACGCCTATAATCCCAGCACTTTGGGAGGCCAAGGCAGGCGGATCACGAGGTCAGGAGATTGAGACCATCCTGGCTAACATGGTGAAACCCCGTCTCTACTAAAAATACAAAAAATTAGCCGGGCGTGGTGGCACACGCCTGTAGTCCCAGCTACTTGGGAGGCTGAGGCAGGAGAACCGCTTGAACCCGGGAGGCAGAGGTTGTAGTGAGCCGAGATCGTGCCACTGCACTCCAGCCTGGGCAACAGAGCGAGACTCCATCTCAAAAAAAAAAAAATTGATTTGTGCCTTAATGCCCACAACTGTGACACATGACATCTTCTATATTCAATGTAGGCTGAAAAATTATATTTTTAACTTTTAAAGAATCAATAGTTTAACAAATATCTCTTCATGAGGTTGGAAATGATAGATCAAAAAGCTTTGGCTTTTGATACAAACCATGATATACAACACCTCTTGAAAATTACTTTTGTAATCAAGACATGTAAACACCTGTCTCTCTCTCTTTCACTCCTTCTCGCTCACTCTCTCTCTCTCTCACACACACACAAACACACAAAGGTAAATGCAAATATAGTAACACATAAATTACTGGAATTTCACTTATTTGTTCCATACTCTTTTAGTTACTCCATAATATGGCTTTAAATACAATTAAGTGTATTTCCCTACTTTTTATTAAGTTCTTCTCATGTCCTTGTGTTAATGTGTGTCCTACCTCAAGATACTTGCTCTGCCAAAAAATAAGATATTTCAAGATAGAAAGTTTTGACCAACTTTTATAATGGAACCCAATACATGAAGAATTCTCTCTTTAAAAATGTTTTTTTTTCTACAAAGAATAGATTTATGTTTTATTGTTAGCAAAATTAGCAATCTATTATTAGCAAAATTAATGAAACTCCAGAAAACATACAGATCAGGTATTATTTGCTGGACCAATAATGACTGGAGTACTAAAGTGATCGGAGTGGAAGTTAGGTAGTAAATTAATTAATACCAGAGACTAAAACAAGGTATAAAAAACACAATGACAGAAAGGAAACAGAGTTATCTTTTGCTGAACTTAGATGAAGATAATAAAAGTAAAAGTTTGTCCTAAGTGAAAACGTAAGTCAAGTCACAAGAAGAAACCAAGAATAAAACTGCGTCATACATAAGATTAAATGCACAATTATACACAGAGTAAGAGAGCATAAATATTCCATGAGTAGTCCCAATAGCAATACCAGTTATAATAGTCAACAGAGTCTGGAAAATATTGTAGTAAAAACAATGAAAATGTATCAGTACTTCAAAAAAGAAAGTGAGATGTTTCTTCTCCATTGCAGGTATGCATGAAACTTTGTTTTTATCCTCTGCCTATTTTCTAATCTGACAGAGGTTCCACCTTCTGAAATCACACTCGTTAAAGCAGCAGGAGGAGAGGACATCAATTACTAGGAAATGTTGCTTAAATACTTCATATAATTTTCCCTCATATCCCTTTGGTCATAGTGACTCATATGGCCACTGCCAACATTAGTGATGATATGGTTTGGCTCTGGTTCTGTGTCTCCACCCAAATCTCACCTCGAATTGTAATCCCCACATGTTGAGGGAGGGACCTGTAATCCCCACGTGTGGAGCTGCAATCCCCACGTGTGGAGGGAGGGAGTTGACTGGATCATGGTGGTGGTTTCCCCCATGCTGTTCTCATGATAATGAGTGAGTTTTCATAAGGTATGATAGTTTTTAAAATGTCTGGCATTTCCCTTGCTTTCATTTCTCTCTCCTGTTGGCATGTGAAGAAGATCCTTGCTTCCCCTTTGTCTTCCACCGTGATTGAAAGTTTCCTGAGCTCTCCCAAGCCATGCTGAACTGTGAGTCAATTAAAACTCTTTCCTTTATAAATTACTCAGTCTCGGGTATTTCTTTATAGCAGTGTGAAAATGGACTAATACAAATGGATATTGTGATTATCTTTTATGTCGATAGTTTGAGGAAAATGTTAGTAATGTATACTATAGCAGTGATTGTGGTAGGTGTTCTGTAACCATTTGTTATAGGCATCACAACACACTCAGATTCATATGCTGAAGTCCAAACTGCCAGTACTGCAGAATGTGATTGTATTTAAGAGATAGGGACACTGAAGAGGTAATTAAGTTAAAATGAGACTAATAGTGTTGGCCCTAATACAATCTGATTGGCATCTTTATAAGAATAAATTATGATGTATGGGGAAACAGGAGGGGTGTGTGTGCGCAGAGATACCACTATGTGAAAAGACAGCAAGAGGAACATCATCTGCAAGCCAAAAAGAGAGGTTTCAGAGGAAAGAACCCTGATCGCACCCTGATTTTGGACTTCGACACTTTAGAACTATGAGAAAATAATTTTCTGTGTTTTAAGCCACTCAGTCTATGAGATTTTGTTATGGCAGCCACAGCCAACGAATATACCAGTTGTACTGAAATTATTGGCCATTTCATAGATAATAGACAATGTTTGAGATTCTTATTATGAGAACCACATGAGAAATTTTTAAATGAAGCAAACAACTTTATAAAAACCTGGCAAATTATTTAATTATTTTCTCAAGTTAAACTACCTTTCTATGAACATGGCATGGTCATTCCTACCTCTGGGTTTATATGTTATATTTATGCTGCTGTGTCAGTTTCCCATTGCTGTTGTAACAAATTAACATGGAATAGTGGCTTAAGGCAACACATATTTATTCATTAACTGAAAGTTCAGGAGGTTAAAATTCAAATTGGGTCTTATTGGGCAAAGTTGAGAAGTTAGAAGAACTGTATTTCTTCTGGAGTCTCTGTAGGCTACTCTTATTTTCTTTACTGTTTCAGCTTCTAGAGGCCATCTGAATTTGGAATTTTGAACCTGTCGTTCATCTTCAAAGGGAATAGGGTAGCTCCTTCCAAAATATTTCAGACTCTAAAGTCTGTTACCACATCTCTTACTCTGATGTTTCTGTCTCTGTTTTAATTTCATTTACAAACACCCTTGTGATTATGTTGGGTCTGCTCTGATACTCCAGGATACTCTTCCCATCTCAATATCCTTAGATTAATCATATCTGCAATGATTCACCATGTAACATAATGTATTCGGGGTTTCCAGAAATTCAACCATTATTCTATCTACCATATATACCTAGAACATTCTTTTTCCCCTTTGCACCTTCTTATAATATAGATCTCAGATTATTTCCTACTCAGGAAACCATCTCTTGCCTTAGCGAACCCATCAGATCTCTGTGTTATAAATGGTTATGGTATTTTATGTATTTCCGTTAAACTGCTTAAACGTAATCACTTGATATAAATAATTCTATATTTATTATTTTTTCTTGTTTTTCTTCATAGAACATATGATGGGAGGGACAAATTCTGCCTTGCTCACTGCAGTGTCCTGAATGCCTTGCACAGTATTTTAGTGATAATATTTAGCAGATGAGTGTTGATTAGATAAAAAACTCACACTGTAATGAATATCTATTAATACTTTAATTAGAATGAATTTATTTTAAGCATTTTAAATATATTTGCAAACGATCGGTGTTACTTCAGAAAATAAGAAAATATTTGGAGTCATACAAACCTATGGCCAAACCTCACTTATTTAGGTCAGTTTCTGGCCATACAATCTTATACAAGATATGGAATGATATATGTAAAAAAGGGATGGTTACATACTCTAAGATTCTTTGGCAATTAAATATCAAAAGTAGCTCCTGTAGTTCCTGGGCACATTTTGAGTACTAAACGAATCACATTCTTCAAAACCGTTTTAACTTGAATAAACTTTATATTTTCTATCATACATTTTTGTTCTTCAGTATTTTATTGTTCAGTTGTTAAAATCTTCATAAATTCACGTTGTAATCATATAATTCTGTGTAAATCTAGCCAAATAACAAGAGGTTCCTATAGTAAATTTTAGGGCTTTCTAGGGCCAGATCCATTGTAAAACTATACTCCAAAACAGAATAAATTCACACATATTTTAACTAGGAAATATAGCAAGTAATGAAAGTCAAAATTGCATATTAATGTATTTAAATTTATAAGCTTATATACTGATTATGTTCTTTATGAATTCTATGTATGTTATTGAAATATTTAGTCTAACACTTGGATCAATTATTATTTGCTATGTGTTTTTCTTTTGTTAGTAGACATAGGTGTTTGGCAGATCAAAAATATGCCTAATTAAACTGTGAATCAAAACATCTAAAACTTGGTAGATGCTCAATAGATGCTGGTGAATGAAATATATGACTTAATATTATATCATATCATAGTTAATATAATTTGGTATCTATCAAGCATCAGGGGAAAAATTTTATGTCTCTCAAAAGACAGAAAAAGTTCACTCATACCCCATTATAATTATTGCAGACAATTCTGATGCCAAAAGAAAATGGTTTACATTTCTGTGATCTTAGGTAAACTAATATAAGCTATGCAAAACTAAACACAGAGAAAAGAAATTCATTTTTTAAAATGCTGAATATATTCATTGCATTTGTAAAACTGGTGCATAATTTGTTGTGAAGCCATAGATGCATGCATACCTTAAATATTTATAAAACTGACTTTATGTCTTAAAATGTTTTTCTATATATAACAGTGGGATTTTATTTCTTCTATTTTAATCAATTACTATTTTTAGGCAAGGTCTTTTTATTGATGCTAAAATGTCAGGGTTCCTGATGATGTCTATTAATCATGAACTTTATGAGATGTGCTACTAAGTGTACACTTTTTAAATAACTAGGTCCGTACCACTTGATTCAAAGTTGGAGCATGTATTCATCTGATATGATGTTGTATTTTGGACAAAAATATTTTGAATTCAGCAAGTATAGTAAAAATTAAACCAAGAAAAGTAATTGAAAAATTTAAATCTTCAGGTAATTAACCTCAGGGTCTTCTTCTACTAGAAGAAAATCAAATACATTTATTTATATTGTACTATAATGTAAATATAAATCACACTAAAATAAAATATAATTATATTAGCAACTTATGTATTTAATACATTTTCTATATTCTTTGTTTCCTATGCAATAAAGATGATAATTTAAATGTTTTGCAGATAAAATAAAATAATGCTATTTTTAGTTATTTTGAATTTTTAGTTGCTTTCTTTATTAAATAATGATGAAGTGAAACCAGCTCCCTATTTTCTGCTATATAGACACACAGCTCCTCCTACAGCTATATGTTATACTTAAAAATTTAGCTATTTTTATTCTCATAGTCTTCCAATAAATGGTCTCTGAAATAGTATTAAAATAATAGTTTTCTGTAGTTGATACTTTGGAATATTGCTGATGTGAGTATTCATTTTTACTCATTTATTTTGTAATTTTAGATAAATGCTATACATATTCAATGTGCATTTCTCAAAGTAAGCATGTAGATTTAAGTTAATAGTTAATATAGCTTGAGGCAAAATTATTATCAAAATACTTTATAAATGCTTCAGCTGAGCATTTTAATACACATCTGAAACAAGTTAAACATTATCCCAAGAGTTCACTCTCAATTAAAGCTTTAAAAAAGAGATAACATAAATTATAAATCAGTATTGCACAAAGCATAGTATTATAATGTCATGGTTGTAAGAACAATAAAGCTTTAAATTTCCCTACAGGCTACTCTTGCCTATTTGGAAATGTTGTTCAAGTTATGCATTGCCTAAAGGGATATATTCGCTATGAACAATACTTTATAAACAAATTGATGTTCTGTATCACAAGTTAGGATTTGATTACTGAAAATGTATATAATGTAAAGCTAATTATAAAACCCCAAGATTTAAATGTAGTTTTTTCAGGGATTTACATTTTTTCTAATTAGGAAGAGGACTTTTCAATATGCAGAGAGCTAGCATTGTGCTTCTACGAAATAGTAAAATAGCTCAAGCCAAGTAACGCTTTCCAAAATTTTTCTCTAACATTTCTATGTGGCTTTAGAGAAATTCCAAAATAGTGCTTAGGATCATATTCTACATAATGCTTATGCCTAAATGAAAATATGCATCACTTTTCTTTCTGAAAATGTCTTTTATGTATAGAGATGCTGTATTTCTAATTAGTGATTCTATAATTAGCAATCTAATTTTGGCTACTCTTGAGAAATAATAAAATGAAATTTTCATTTGCCATTTAGTTTCCCCGGGAATTTCCCAGCCATGCTAAATGACTGCCATGGAGCCACAGATTGAATTGAAAACAAATGTCACACACATTTTTGTGACTTGTAGAATGTCATTAACATTTTGTAAAAAAAAAATAACATATTCTCTAGTCTTCAAGGTGTTTATTATTTTATGCCTCATGATTCTTTCTTATTACTTTACTACTCTTCTTCACTAACAAATTCAAAGCTTTTTAGGACAATCTTTATATCTTAATAAACAAGAATATTAGAAGCTAATGTAAATATTTACCTACATCTCTGAAATGTTCATATCCCTTTTAGAAATCTTTTCACACACCACTTTGTGGTGCTGTGACTATCTAATAAAATAAAGAATAAAACCCTGTCATATAAACTCTACAATGTAGAGCAACGTTCATAGAATGGCATGCTGTGAAAAAAAACAAAGTACTTTTGAAATCAGGCCAATTGGAGTTTGACTACAGTCCCAATATGCTGTGTAACTTTATGACCTTTGCTCTCTGTACTTCCATTTTCTCCCCTAATAAAACATCAACACCCTTTCTTAGGATTATTTATTTCATGAAAAATAGGCAACTCCATGCCTAGCACATAGTGCTGTTCCATACTTGTATTTCTTGGTTACTTTAGAATAAAGTAAAAGTGGAAAGATTTCTTAGATGCAATATAATCTTAGACTTGATAGTTGAATGGAAAATTACAGCAGAAAGATGAGTGGAAGCAAAGATAAAATACACAAAGCTGTGTTGAAACAAACAATTACATCTATTACCACATACAAAATGACTACAAGTCAAAATGAATAGGCTAGAAACGTTCATAGTAGTCAGGTTACGAAGAGCCAGAGGAAAAGATGTGGCTCTTACACTTTAACATGTATCTAATGCACAACTATGGGAAAAATTTAATTACAAAATGGCTAACATTTTGGTAGAATTCTCTCACAGTCCTATTATTTGATTACTTCATCATCATTTACTTACTTGATAAATACATTTATTAATTTATTCAACTCAAGGATTGATTTATCAAAACAAAGCAAGTAATGAAGGCAGGGAGAATGTCATTGTGATAGCAAATCTGAGACATGCTGAGGGATTGAGTTTGGTCTGTGTAATAGGGAAGGTGGGAACAGTATTTCAAAGAAAGATTTAAGGTGTAGTGGTGTTTGTAGGATTTCAATAAGTAATAATCCTGTCTCCTTCCTCAAATATTCCTTCCTTTATTTAATAACACACATTAAACATCTGCTATGTGACAGAACTCCGTTAAGAAAATGTATCTGTTATGTGACGTAATTCCTGCTTTCAAAGACCTGATACTTTAGAAGGGTGGTTCGAAGGCCAAAAAAAAAAAAAAAAAAAAAAAAAAAGACTTATATTTATAAATACTATGAAAAAGAGATAAATAAAGATTACATATTTTTTGGAGAGCAGTTGCAAAAATTATCTCAGTGAAGATGGCATTTAACCATAAACAAAATATTAAAGGAGTAAGTCACACAGTTATCAATGACAATAGTGTTCTAGAAAGATGAATCAACAAGAAAAATGCATGTAAACCATGACCAAATATGTATTTTGTTTAAATCAGTAGTTAAACTATTAGGATTAGAACTGAATAAATGTGGTCAAATAGATGGAACAGAAAGTAACAGAAAAAGCAAGGAACCAAAACAATGTAAAAATTCGTACAGCATGGTGAGGAATTTCATTTTTATACACAGTGAGATTGAAAACTTTTGAACGTTGTTAATCTTATAGATTACTTTGGTTTCCATATGGACTAGTTTGTCAGTAGAGAATAGACGTGGTTATATCGACCAGTGGTTTATTAAAATGGTCCAGGGAAGAAATGTTGGCGGCTTGGACTGGAGTACAGCATAGATGCCATTACAAGTGTTATTTTACATATATTTAAAAGGAACCTGCCATAGGACTTATTGATAGATTGCTTAGACTAGTGATAAAAAGAGAGAGGAAAAATAGAGTCAAGATGAATTTTGTGCTAAGAATATAGCAATTCATTTAATTGACATAGGGAATTTTGAAAGAAAAGTTTTTTTTCTTTCGTTTATTTTCTTGAAAGGATTTTTTAAAAATTGCTTGTGGATACATCATGACTATATTATCTATTCTATATATCCTGTTACAGATAGATAATAAGTCTAGGGCTCTGAGCATAAAACGGGGCTATAAATAAGCATGAAGGAGTCATCAGTAAATAGGTGATATTTAAAGACATGTAACTAAATGAGTTCCTCTAAGGTTTGAATGATCAGATGCAGAAGAAGGAGAGTGATCAAAATGTCTGCTTTATCAATAAAATTATATTCAATAGGAGATGTGAACTTTATGCAGAGCTAAATTGTATCTTCTTTTATAATACGCTTCTGAATTTAAATTGTCCTTTTGCCAGTGTCTGAAGCTACCTTGCAAAACTTAATGCATGTCTGAAAATAAACAAACAAACAAACGAAACGACCAGAATGCACCTCTCTGCAGGAATGAGCTTCAGGAGAGAGTTGAAGAGAAAGGTTTATAACTAGGCATTTTTCAATTAACAATTAGTTAGGGTATTCCTGACAGTAAAGTAATGAGGAGTAAGGAGAGAGAGAGATGTTTTTCTCGTGTGTTCTTGTCATGATTAGTGAAAGAATAATATTCTAATAGTGATGTCCACTGGCATTAAAATATAATTTCAGAAAGGAGATAAGGCTGAGGGAGGAATTTCTGTTAAATCTCTGATTTTCTTTGAGGGTCTATAAAGAATAGCTATTTCACTACATAACAAGGGTGCTCAAGAGCGACATTTATTGTAGTGAAAAAATCCCTAAAATTATCTATTAATGGTCTCATGGGGGATTAGAACAATATTTTCCTAATGTGTTCATGAAATAACACACTTAGAAATAACATCAGTTTATTTATTTATCTGAAACTCAAGATTGGTCTCAGATGTAATTGATCAGCTGAGGAGTCAGTGTTGCAACTTAGGCCACCCCAAGGGATAAGAGTAGCAGTATATTAGACATATATTAGACATACTTGTTTTTTTTTTTTTTTTTTTTTTCTGAGACAGAGTCTCACTCTGTCACCCGGCTGGAGTGCAGTCGCACCATCTCGGCTCACTGCAACCTCCACCTCCCTGGTTCAAGCGATTCTCCTGCCTCAGCTTCCTGAGTAGCTGGGACTACAGGCGCACGCTACCACTCTCAGCTAATTTTTGTATTTTTTAGTAGAGACGGGTTTCACCATGTTGGCCAGGATGGTCTCGATTTTTTGACCTCGTGATCAGCCCACCTCCCAAAATGCTGGGATTACAGGCGCGAGCCACCAAGCCCGGCCTATACGTACTCTATTTCTAATTAAGGCTTATCAGTATACCCCAATGACTCAACATATTATTAGAAATTTTAGAATTTAAAAAATTGTAGAAGAAATAACTATTTCAAATATTGCCCTGAACAAAATAGGACCCTTGCCCTATAAATAAAACATATCTTATTTTACATTTACCATATGAAGAAATCGTCCATGAAGTGTATTCATCTACAGATACCTATTTAAACATGTCTAGTGCCTCAAAAGCAGAGGTGTTTAATAGTAAGCAAAAATTACACTCATCATTTGGCCATTCAAATAACACTCATTATATAACTAAGAGAAATCAATACAATTACTATGTATCCACACTTGACTGACCTTGAATTGAATGTATTGATACAGAAACTAAGCATGTTGCAATGTCTTCTTAATGCTTGATGAACTCCATCAGGTGTAATCACTTCTTGGCAGATTAGAAACGTCTTACTCTTTTCTCGGCTCAACACATCTTCCAGGCATTCTTTAAAACATGTAATTGTGCTGTATGCATATCTATTGAACTCTGTCTAATATTCTGAGGTGCCTGTGCCTATGGAACAATAGTACAATACTCTTTGGAGCTGCATGCCTGACCAACCTTTTAAGAGAAAATTCTTTATAGAAGCTCAGTTGGTACACGGGCTTAGGTTGGGGATTCTATCAGAAACTTCTATTAGACTTTTAAATGTTTGCCACTTTGGGACTACTACACTCAGGCCTGCCTTTGGCAATAGAGAGCAAGAGTACTGGCATCACTTTCCCGTAAAACACCTACAAGCCCATATTTTGAAACATTTTTAAACTTATAATAATAACTGAATACATTTGTAGTTTGTAACTTATAATAATTGGATACATTTGTAGTTTGTAACTTATAATAATAATTGGATACATTTGTAGTTTGTTATTATTATATTAATAATTAAAATATATGGAGAGTATATACATATATTCTTTTTGAATGAAGAAAATGAGTTTAAAAATTTCTCTGGGTAAAGTCATAAACATGCTTAAAATCTAGACAGATATATCAATAACAGCTCTTATAGAATGCTATTTTCAATAATCCTTATTTCTGTATATTTTTTACATGTTATATATGCCAAGATCATTTACTGCATATAATCTCTGAAATGAGAGCTTTAAAATTAGTTGTGCTCCTACTGTTTCACTTTTTAACTCTGTTTCCAAGTTACTAAAGCATAAGGATTTTAGTTGGTAATCCAGTCTGAATGATGTTTCATTACAACTTTGAAGATTGCCTAATTTGAGTAGGGGATTATTTATATTTAGAGCAATAGATGAGGATCAAGCTTAGAAACATAAAGTGTGTTAAGATAACAGAAGTACACTGAGGCTAACTTGTACCTACTAACAAGTTAGTTAGTGTTCACCCTTTCTCAACTCCATGTTCAGTGATGTCACGTGGGTAGCATTACATCAGCCATGGTGGAAGAATTTACAGTACAGAAATGGGCAATACGGTGGACCTTTGAATAACAGGTTGTGAAGTACTCACGTCCATTTATAGGTGGATTTTTCTCAACCTAATGCAACAAAAATATATTTGTGGTATAGAAAATCTCACAAGGATGACCGCAGGGCTTGAGTATGGACATTTCGTATATGTAGGGGTCCTCTGAAACCAATCTCCCATGTATTCCCAGAGATAGCTGTAATTACAAGTCAGTTCCCTTCTCCCTTCCACCTCAGGGTTAGATTTTAACATTTGCTACCCAGCCATCAATCACAGATGTCCTGTGTTTTATTCTTGACAGTTTAGGTCAATTTTGTCCAACCCATGGCCCATAGGCTGCAAGCGGCACAGGACGGCTTTGAATGTGACCCAACACAAACTTGTAAACTTTCTTAAAACATTATGAGATTTTTTTTTGGTGATTTTTTTTAGCTCATCTATTATTGTTAGTGTTATTGTATTTAATTTGTGGCCCAAGACAGTTTTTCTTCTTTCAATGTAGCCCAGGGAAGTCAAAGACCGGAAATTCCTGGTTTAGGCTATATTTGATACACAGTAAATGAAATTAGAAAATTTTATACAGCAAAAATTTATTTATGATTGCTTCAGAAAGAGTAATGTGGAAGCTTTTCTAAGTGTAAATGAGAGTTTTTAAGGAACTAGAGGCAGAGGGCAGGGCAGTGGTTGCTGCAGTATCCTAAAGAAGGATTTGTAAATCTCCAGTTATGGCAGGAGGGCAAATGAAATGAAGAGAGCTTCACAAATGTGTGTTCAGAAAGGTTCATGGACACATACCAGGTTTTAAGCCTAAGCAGCTCTTGTCAACAAATATAGTAAAATTGAGAGGAAAGTGATTTAATTTATAATGAAATAGACATAGGTATATAGATACAAAATCACATGGAGCAGAGAGACTATGTTGTACTTTTTTTATTATTATACTTTAAGTTCTAGGGTACATGTGCACAACGTGCAGGTTTGTTACATATGTATAAATGCGCCATGTTGGTGTGCTGCACCCATTAACTCATCATTTACATTAGATGTATCTCCTAATGCTATCCCTCCCCCCTCCTCCCACCCCAAGACATGCCCCAGTGTGTGATGTTCCCCTTCCTGTGTCCAAGTGTTCTCATTGTTCAATTCCCACCTATGTTGTACTTTTTAAAAAAATATTTCATTCTGGAAATCCTGAATTGGCCTCAAATTATACTCATGAAGGTAGTCTACTCTGCAACCATTCTCTGAGCATAGCACCTGGAGGGACCAAAACAAAACAAAACAAAGAAAGAAAAATGAAAAGAAAAAGAAATTCAATTTTTCCCCCAGAAGAAAATTAGAGAACTTCTTTAACAAATTTTTAACATATTTCTTTTGATTAAATTTGCTTTTTAGTTTCTGCTAAAAATATAAAACATTTTTGAAGATTATGTGTGCATTATGTCTTTTAAATTCTTTCCCTGGAGTTTATCGATTTTTAAAAATTAATATTTATATTTATTTACTCATTTATTTGTTTTGTGACAGGAGGTGGTTTTGTCACCCAGGCTGGAGTACAGTGCCACCATCATAGCTCATTGGAGCCTCTAACTCCTGGGCTCAAGCTGTCCTCCCGCCTCTGAGTAGCTGGAATTTCGTAGTGCACCAATACACCCAGGTAATTTTTTTGTTTTTTTGAAAAGACAATGTCTCACTGTGCTGCCCCAGCCTGGTCTTGAAGTCCCGGGCTCAAGTGATTCTCCCACCTCAGCTTCTCAAAGCAGTGGGATTATAGCCATGGGCCACCACACTCCGTCTTTTACAGACTTAAAAAAAAAATGAATTATGTGATTGAACACACAGATTTGGGGGCCTTAAATCCAGGACTACTTATGCCACTACAGTTGTCACTTGAGATCTGTAATGAATTAGTTACAGGACTTTCTGCGGATACAAAAATATACTGATGCTCAAGCCCAATATAAAAAATGGTGTCATATTTGCATATAAGCTGCACACATCCTCCCAAAATACTAAATAATCTCTAGATTATGTATAATACCTAATACAATGTAAATACTGTGTGAATAGTTGTTATACTGTTATGTTTAGGGAATAATGGCAAAGAAAACAAAGTCTGCAGACACTTTTTATTCCCCAAATATTTTTAATTGGTTTTTGGTTGAATTCAGGAATGCAGAACCCAGCGACAGTGAGGGCCAACTGTACTGTGTTGAACAGACTCATCACGTCCCAGGACATAAGCACATCTCTGTGGGTTTATTTTTATTTTTATTTTTTTAACCAAAGGTGCATAACCAGAATGTAACCAAAAAGGACTAATTGAAGTATATTCTACACAGTAAATGACATGTACTCTGCAAAAATGTCAAGGTCATGAAGGCTGAAGAATGGTTCCAAATTGAAGGAGACTGAAGAAAGACATTACTAAATCCGATGAATGATTCTGAATTGTATCTGGGTCAGCTAGTTGCTTGGCTGCTCTAATAAGGAAGGCTCCACTGGTCTTGGTTCCAAGTTGTAGGTTGAGTCTGGTACCACATGTTCACATTCTCAGCAGCTAACTGAAGCACATTTTTCCACAGTCAAAATTCAAGACAAGTTCAACTGCACAAGGATATTTCAAGTTTCTGCTCACTTCACATCTAAAGTATCTCATTGGCTAAAGCAAGTCACAAGAACAACGCCAATGTCAAGGGGTTCATATGGATGCATAATACTGTCACCACAGGGCAGTGAAGAATTGAGATCAATAATTCAAGCTACCACACTAGCCAAGTGCCTTACACGTTCCTTGGCTCACTACATGGTATAACACACAGTGGCAAATTCCCATCTCAAGTGACAATTAGTGCCAACCACATTGCTGAACCCAGGGACAATGCTGATACTGAATGATCTACTACTGTAAAATCTTTTTACTCTGTTGATGAAGAGGTTGCCATGCCAATGTTCCATAACTATGTTGGTTCTAGGGAAACATAGCTTTTTGGAAATTTACATTTACCTATTAGAAAGTCTGCAAACATCTTATAGCAGAAGTTCCAATTATATGGTCTGGAAAAGTAATTACAGATACGACCAAAAAAGAAACACCAACAACATTGTGAACAAGGGGGTTTAGTAAGCATGAAATATGAGGGTGACAAAGTGAAAAATTCCCAAATTTCCTCAAAAGTGTAAGAAATAAATAATTCTGTCATTTCCATGACAGTTAAAAAGAATAAAAAATGAAGTATTGTTTTTAAAAATAAAGAAAAATAAAACAGTGAAAAAAAATAAGCTAGCTTTAGAGTCACAATGCCCGGATTTAGGTACTGGCTCCAACATGTAGAAGGCCTGTTAACTGATATAAATTATCTCACCTATTCAATTCTTAACATCCTATTCTCTAAATCCAGACAATAGGAAGAATATAGTTCATGGAACTGTTTGAGAATTAAAAGAAGTAATACATATAATTCCCATAGAGTGGTGGCTGGTTGGCCCTATTTAAAAAGCGTTTGGAACTTGTCACTACATTGAAATTATTATTTAATAATTATTTATTATCAATTTTGAGTACAGTAATGAAATGTCATTTATTAGTTTTAAAATAAACAAATATATTACTGATCTTAAAGTTCCTAAGACTTAGTTATATATTATTATATACACATATTACAACATATATTTGATGATAACTATATACATATATACTTTACTATACATCTTATCTATGACAATATACACATAAAATATTGCTGCCATTAGAAAAATTATTGTGTATTTTTTGTTAATAAAATAAATGTGATAATCTGGTTAAGCATTTGGAAGAAAAATAAAGATTATTCTTCCCAGAAACATTTTAGATTATTCTTATAAATACTAATCACTCATATGTTAATAAAAACTGACATATTTTAACATGTAAAATAAAATATTTAAAGGCAGTCAAAATTAGTTAAAACTTTCATCATGTGAGGATGATAACAAAAACTATAAAAATTTTGCAAGTTAACATTCTAGAAGAAAATCACATCTTTTTGTAATAAAACACATAATAAACTTGAATGCAGAGGAATATTGAAAGATTACATTATAATAACTTGTTAATGAATTTGAATTATATACATTTAAATTTTAATTAGCAAAAACAGTTAAAAGTAACAATTTAAATCCTAAAATGTATTATTTTTTCTCAAGTATAAGTAACATATCTAGCCAAGCAAAAAAATGCATATAGATGAACTTCTTTGACCTCGCAGATTAGATCAAGGATCTAAGTGCTTTCCAATAAAATATTTTTATTAATTTATTTTGCTCTACCCTTGATTCGTGAACACTACAGATGAATCCTGTAATAATTCTTTCCCAGTTGAAATTTGTTTTTGGAAAAAAGGTACTTCACTTACTTGTTGTATTAGCTACCTAAACCTCTGTTCAACACATTTCTTAATGCAGGCAGGTATAAATTAATGTGTTGTCTTATCATGTATTCAACACTTACTAACACCATACTTAGTTAATGAATATCTTCTAGATGAAGGACAATGTGCTAGCAACATGAATGGACACTAAATTCAAGGATGTATAATGTGAGACATTAATTTGGTATTTCATCATTTAACTTCATAGAATGTAAGAATTGTAGTGCATTATGAATTACTAATAGCCTGTAAATTCTTAGGGAAATGCTCTCTAGAACAGTCTGATACATCGCAATAGTTCATTTTCCTTTGCAATATCACAACATTGGCTTTTACTATTCATTAAAGAGGAGATTTCTAATATACGAAAGGTGTTTCAATGTTTGGAGGACCAAACAGTATTCATGAGACCACTTTAAGTAATTTCCTAATATCCTGGACCTTACTTAGGCCTTAGGCCTCTCTACTGCCTACATTTTCGCCACAGACAGACTTAATTACCTGCTCAATCATGAACATACGTTTCATCCTTTCTAATCTCTATCGTCTCCATTTAGTGATTTTTTTTAACTCTAAAATTTGAAAAGTCATCCCCATTATTTATAAGTGACAGGGCAACTTGCACTCCTCCCTCTCAGCCTCCTCAAATCATGTATACACACAGAAATGCACAAATCGTCAATATACTACAAACTATTGGTAAAATCAGAATGTACTTTCTGTAGAAACATACCTTCCATTCAATTCCTTTGACTTCTTTCGTAACAGTTAGTCGTTCTTAAGTTCCTGCAGTGATCACATTCATTTTTAGTTCACGTAAACATGAAAGGCTTTACTGACTCACCTGGGAACTGTGATCTCACCACCACTAAGTTATCCTCATGCATTTTTATTGGTTGTAATAATGATAACAATGATGTTCAAACCAAGAATATCAATATGGCAATGTCTGTGATTACTTTGCATGTATTGTTTATTCATGCAACAAAACTAATCTGGCTATTGCAATCTACTTTTAACAAATAGGTGAGAGAGAATTTAAATAATTTGCCCAAGGTAACATAGTCTAGGCTATTTGTTTTATTCAAATCTATCTAACTATCTATATCTATCTATCTATCTATCTATCTATCTATCTATCTATCTATCATCTAATTGTGTAAAACATGCATTTTTTAACTATAATTGGATATATATAAAATAGTCTGTGTATAGTTCTAGAGATTTATTTTATAGCACAGTAACTGTAGTTAATAATAATTATATACTTGAAAACTACTAAGAGAATAGATTTTAAATGTTCTCAAAACAAAAAAGTTAATTAAGTGAAGAGATAATCATATTAATTATCCTGATTTCAGCATTCCACAATGTATACAGATATCAAAACATCACATTGTACCTGATAAATATATGCAATAATAAATATTTCAAATGTTATGATTGTTCCATAATTCCTATATCTTAAGAGGTATGTTATATTTTTCTTTTTTTTAATTTAAGTGTATTTATTAACTCATTAGATTGTAAAATAATTTTAGAGAGGTCTATAATCTCTCTATTATCTTTCTATCTATCTATCTATCTATCTATCATCTATCTATCTATCTATCTATCTATCTATCTATCTATCTATCTACCTAATCCATTGGTTTGCTTGGCATAGTGGCCTGTAAAATAAAATAGTTGCTCATTAGGTGTTGGTTAAATTTAATAGTTGGTAAAAAAAGATACATCAAGGACTACAAATATATTGACTACTTTAACATCATAAAGCCCACTAATAGATCCTGTATAAATTACATTAAATCTTACAGCAGTTTTTTTAGTTTTTTTTTTTTTTTCTAATATATGTGTGTGGGTTGTGATCCTGACAAGCTTCTGAAAAACTCTTAGACTCTGGTTACTGTGGTGATCAAAGATCTGTTTATATAACTGCAATTTCATTTCTCTTGGAGGATCAGAATGAAAAAGAAATTGAGAATTCTTATGCTTGTTTTTCATCATGTTATTTTGTTATAGGGCTGTTGGTATTGGAAATTAGAAATCATAATTTCCAATTTTAGAAAAAGTATTTTGGTTTTATCTGAAATTAAAAAGATTATAAACTTTAGTAGCTTATAGTAATTCACTGATGAAACAATATTTCTAAATATATAAGAATAAATATAAATATAAACTGTTAATAGAGGCACAATAACGGAAGGTATTTCTAATTTTAAGAGAGACATTTAAATAGTTGTTATAAGGTAATATGTTATATTCAGATTACTATGGTGGCAGCAATAATTATAACTGAACCACTGAGATGGGGAAGTGTATGAAAAGAAGAAAGGAGAAAAAAGAAATAAATTTTGACTGCTGTGAAAATACATAATTTTGTAAATTTTATAATATCTTGTGACTATATTATTAAGATCTCCCCCTGTGTTTGAAAGAAGCCAATACGAGTAAGATTCATGAACGTTATGCTTCACTGACTTCTCAGTAGTTCTGCTACTGTTCATCATATATATATTAAGTTATATATTAAATGTACATATATGGAGATATATATATATATATACACACACACACACACACACACACAAACACACACATATATGGTTGGCCCCATTGCAAAAGCTTTTGGAACTTGACACTACATTGAAATTATTATTTAATAATTATTTATTATTAATTTTGAGTAGAGTAATGAAATGCCATTTATTAGTTTTAAAAGAAACAGATATATTAATGAACTTAGAAATGTTCCTGAAAGTTAGTAATATATTATTATATGCATATATTACAACATATATCTCCACCTTTTTGTCCAATAATGCTGTATCTGGCATTCTTTGGTAGTCACTAGCCTTCAAATTTTGGACCATAAGCAACCCAGACAGAATGGGCTTCTTCTGTTAAAAGACATTATAAGGAGAACATCAAATGCCGTACTGAATACATTCACAGAATCATTTTACTGATTTTTTTCATGTTCTCCAAGGTTACAGAATAACTGCTAGCCATTTCCTTACCAGGAAAATAATTCAGAAAAGTATCATAAAAATTAAATTAAGATAAAGATTCTTGAGAGATACAGCCCTGCATTAACTGGACTGTTTATTTTAAAAATCTGTCTAGAAAAAGTGTTTCATTATGTTACTAAATCATGTATTGATTTTGCACTTACCAAATTTTTGAAAATGAAGAGTCAAAGCATTCATTTTGTTGAATTTTAGGACCATTATAATTTATTTAATTTTGCTATCCAGCAAAAGGTAAGCATAATATCAGATACAATCTTATGGCTAGGGTGGAGAATCAAGTAAAACATCACAGTGAATCAAAAAGAAGTAAAAGAAATAAAGCCTCCAATAGGAAATTATCCAATTTGATCTTAAAAATGTTTCTTCTTCTTCTTCTTCTTCTTGTTCTCCTTCTCCTTCTCTTTCTCCTTCTCCTTCTCTTTCTCCTTCTCCTTCTCCTTCCCCTTCCCCTTCCACTTCCCCTTCCCCTTCTCCTTCTTCTCCTTCTTCTCCTTCTTTCCTTCTTTTTTTTTCTTGAGATGGAGTCTCACTCTGTCTCCCAGGCTGGAGTGCAGTGGTGAGATTTCTGTTCACTGCAACTGCCTCCTTCCAGGTTGAAGCTATTCTCCTTCCTAAGCCTGCCAAGTAGCTGGGACTACAGGCGCCTGCCAGCACACCTGGCTAATTTTCGTATTTTAGTAGAGAAGGGGTTTAACCATGTTGGGCGGGCTGTTCTTGAACTCTTGACCTCATGTGATCCACTGCCTCGGCCTCCTAAAGTGCTGGGATTACAAGCATGAGCCACCACACCTGGCCTGTACTTTCTTCTGAATTAGAAAATCAGAAATAAAAAGTCAATACTGTTCATTAACTACCTAGCTAATAATGCAAGATAGTTTCTCAAGGTCATATACACATCGAGGTAAGTTAAATACTATTAAAAACTTGATAATAACTAATGTTAAAGATATGCGATTCGTCCCTTCACTGAGAACTTAGAATGACCATCAAGTAAGTATGATAGCACATGATAAAAAATGGTAAAAAGAAAATGACGCAGAATTTATACACAATAAAGGTGAGTTGTAATATACTCTTAAAATGAATCATGTATATCTTCCTAAATTATAATGAATAGACTTGAAGCATGACAGAATGTAATTAATGCAGTCATACGGTATGTCAAATGCACTTTCCTTAATAGCTAGTTTCAAAAAACTTCATAAGATGTGTGAACCAACCTTACCATATTCATTTGTCATTTCCAATATTGCTGTCACTTGAATGTGTGTGTATATCTATATGTGCATGTGAATATATATGTCTTAATTTTGCTGTCATATTTGCCAATTTCTTTTTGTGATCATCGATTTGAATTTATTGAGTATATTAAGACAATGATTAGACAATTTTAGATCAGACTTTGATTTAAACATACAAATTATTGTATGTATTAAATTAAACATATTATATATTAAATTAAATATTATACATATATCAAATTATTATACATATATCAAATTAAACCATCTTGATAATATCTCCAGAGTAAAATATAGTCTTTTTTCTGGGTTGTTTTCCAAATATGGTTTGTTGATGTTACATTTAAAAAATTAAGGAGTCGTTCAACAGCAAATCCTTCTCTAAAATGCATACAGTAATAAAATATTAAGAAGTCAATAGTGAATGAAAGAGGTAATATAGGTGCAAATAATAATTAGAACAGATAGAGATTCTTTGAGTACATTAGCAAATATTTCTGAAAATCAAGTATAAAATAGATCCTTTACATTTTGAACTTTTATTTTCAAAAATTGCTCAGAAACAACAGAAAAAGTTGGAAAAAGAGAAAAAGGAAGAAAAGTAGAAAGTGGCAAGCTTTCATAAAGTAGTTCGTTCTAAATTCTAAAGAAACGTTAAAAATTTTCTACTTTAACTTTTGTTATTTTATGTCACAGGTTATTTTTCTTGACTTACTGAAATGTATAAGACCAATAAGTGTTGAAATCTCACATCGGTTTGTCAACTAGGCAATGTAGGCTGGACAAATTATCTTTGAACTAGAATTACTATTTGTAATTTCATACTGTATTAGTTTTCCATTGCTACCATAACAAGTTACCACAAATTTGGTAAGTTAAAATAACACAAATTTATTACATCACAGTTCTTAGGTCAGAAGTTTGATGGAGGTTTCATTGGACTAATCAAAGTCTGGACAGGGCTGTGTTTCCTTCCACAGGCTGCCAGAAATAATTCATTCTACAGGAATATTTAATCAATAATTCAGGAATCAATAATTTTGTATTGATTAATTGGCATAGCAAAAATTCAAAGCAAATCAAAACCAAAAAAATATAATTTTGCAAAGTTGCCTTGAAACCACTCTGAGAAGAAGCATTTTTTTTCAAAAATTTCCAGTTGTATCTTAGAGATTTTGTTATGATCCACAAAGAAGCAGGTCAGGTTGGGCGCGGTGGCTGACACCTGTAATCCCAGCACTTTGGGAGGCCAAGACGGGAGGATCACGAGGTTAGGAGATCAAGACCATACTGGCTAACACAGTGAAACCCCGTCTCTGCTAAAAAATACAATAAATTAGCCGGGCGTGGTGGTGGGCGCCTGTAGTCCCAGCTACTCCGGAGGCTGAGGCAGGAGAATGGCGTGAACACGGGAGGCGGAGCTTGCCGTGAGGTAAGATATCGCCACTGCACTCCAGCTTGGGCGACAGAGCGAGACTCCGTCTCAAACAAACAAACACACAAACAAACAAACAAACAAACAATAAAACAGTTCAGATTTTCATAGTCTGTACTCCCCATGTGTCTATCAATCTAAATACCGTGATGAGAATATAATCATAACTCTCAGACAGTTTAAGCAAACTGTTTCTGAAAATTCAGCTATAATATGCTCAAGACACACACACACACACACACACACACACACACACACACATACAGTTTCTCAGGATCACTGAGACAAAGGCAGATAGAAACCAAGTCATAGGTAAAATAAAATTTGTGTTCTCATTGTACAAGTTTATCTTGGGTTTGCATAGCCTAAAAGAGACAGAAAGTCAAATATGATTTGCTCTGTTCTAAAGCCAAAATGGCATGTACACAAAGGTTCAATACTGATAAATTTGATTATTTCTGCAGAAACAAATTAAATATCTACTTGTAAGTACTTTACGCCATTTGTATAATTCCCCTTGTCTCTGAAGTATATATTGATCATAATACTCTCGACCTAACAATTCAGATATTTCCTCAGTTTTCCATTTATCAAAAATAACTTCTAATTCTTCTTCAGGAGTAAAAAATACACTATGTCTAATACGAGTTATATTACTATAAAAATTGAAAATCCAAGGCAATTTAAACCCTTAACTGAAAACAAGACTGTAATCAAGAATATTATTTCTATGGAATTCGGAAAATAAGCCTTTGTCTGAACTGTATTTAAGGCAATTAAGAAAAATTACACATTATGCACATTTTTTTCTTAATGATCTACAATCCCTGAAAAAGAAAACAAGTGGGCTAGAAATGAACAAATAAATAGACACTTTAAAAGTTTTATGATCGGTAATCAAAAGAGTTTCAGAATCATTTGCCAGTAAAGTGATTCATGCCAATTTATAACTTATCCACCTCCTCCAAATTTTGCTAGCTTAAAATTCCATCTGATTTTTTAAAGCATATGTAATAGGTAAGACTATTCAATGTATACCTTCATTTGCTTTATCTGTATATATTTTCAAAGGGCATACTATAATTATTTAGGGAAAATAAGTTTCAAGAATATTGTTTTTTACAATATTGAAGACTGCTACTTCAAACTAAGGGTAAACTATTATAACACAACCATGTGAAAAATTCAAATATCCCTTCCAATTAATCTACACATACTCAGGGTAACTAATGTCCATTAAGTAGAACTACTTTTTTGGAATGGATTATGCTGTTAGCACTTAGTGATAAGAGCTGTTCTAGCTATAAGACCTACCACTTTTTTTCTGTAACCAGACAAAAAAACCAATTGACACAGTAAATTCATTGTAATTTTTTTTTTAAAAAAAGAGAAAAAAGGTTATACCATTTAAGTGATATACCATTTATGCACTTATAAATGGATTATTGCTTTATTGTAACAGCATCATGGAATTTTTCTAGAGTGCATCTGCTTTCATAAACAAACAAGTTAAGAACACTGTAATATTACATCCTCATGCCATAGTCATCCATCGAAATATGCAAAGAAATATAAATTGTCTTGTTACTTTTAGGATGCCACAAAACAATCTTTCCTCTGAAATGTTACATGATACATGATCTATACTATATAGTTATATATTATATATATAGTAAATATAATTATATATACTATATGTATTAGACATAGTTATGTACTATACTATATATACTATATTAATATACAGTATATACTAATACACACTATATTAATATACAGTATATACTAATACACACTATATTAATATACAGTATATACTAATACACACTATATTAATATACAGTATATACTAATACACACTATATTAATATACAGTATATACTAATACACACTATATTAATATACAGTACATACTAATACACACTATATTAATATACAGTACATACTAATACACACTATATTAATATACAGTACATACTAATATACACTATATTAATATACAGTACATACTAATATACACTATATTAATATACAGTACATACTAATATACACTATATTAATATACAGTACATACTAATATACACTATATTAATATACAGTACATACTAATATACACTATATTAATATACAGTACATACCAATATACACTATATTAATATACAGTACATACCAATATACACTATATTAATATACAGTATATACCAATATACACTATATTAATATACAGTATATACCAATATCTACTATATTAATATACAGTAGATACTAATATCTACTATATTAATATATAGTAGATACTAGTATCTACTATATTAATATATAGTATGTACTAGTATCTACTATATTAATATATAATATGTACTAGTATCTACTATATTAATATATAGTATGTACTAGTATCTACTATATTAATATATAGTATGTACTAATATCTACTATATATTAATATATAGTATGTACTAATATCTACTATATATTAATATATACTATATACTAATATCTACTATTTTCAAAAAGTGGTTCCTTAGTAAGAAAATTACAAATGTGGTTTTGTATTGAAAAACAAGAAATCGATCTCCATAATTACAGGATAAGATTCCTTTTGTCAATATCTAGTACTTTTTGTATTTGAAATTCAACAAGGAAAAGACCCTGCGAGGTCTTTGGTGCACCACTTCAATGGTATAAACTTTTTTCTCATTTCTTAAAAAAATTACAATGAATTTACACTATATTATACTATATACTATACTATATAGTATATGGTATAGAGTTATACTACTATAACTAAGTAATTTTTCCTAAAAGATAAATTAAGGTATTGAAAATGTTAATGTGTTTTCAGGGTTTTTCTTCATGATGTTGATTCTTACACTACACTATATTCTATTGTATAAGTTTTCCCTGTTTTCTCCCACTGTATTATATGAAGATTAGAACAAAACATTACCTACTCTAATACACAGAATCAAAATTTCTGAAATCTTCACACTCTAATGTCTATTTGATTATGCGGTATCTATGTTAAAATATTAATATAATATTCAATATTGAAGTTATATATTCTTGGATATTAACAGGGCAATTCTACATCTATATACGATATAATTCAAATTTCTACAAGCACAAAGCTTTATGTTAAAAAATGAAAACATTTTTCTCCTGTTTGTTGACGGTATTAATCCCATGGGTTTCTTGTACACATTTTCACAAAGTTCTGCAACCTGATTTCTACAGGAAATTTCAGATTAATAACTAAACTTATGGATTTGAAGAACAACTGTAGTGAATTCAGAGATTTTACAAATTCTAAATAAAGTCTTAAATGTAATTGATCTACAAGGGACATTGTCAACATACACAGTATTGAACAAGTTATTCTCCTTCAAACCTCGCAGGGTCTTTGCCTTGTTGAATTTCAAATACAAACAGCACTAGATATTGACAAAAGGAATCGTATCTTGTTGTAATTATGGAGATATATTTCTTGCTTTTTCAATACAAAACCACATTTGTAATTTTCTTACTAAGGAACCACTTTTTGAAAATAGATGAATGACACTGACATAACACACCTGTAGCTGGGTCATCAAATCAGACTCACAGCAATTGGAGATCTTAATCATTATTACATTTTACCAATAAATCAAAAGACAGAAGAGATCAAAAGACACAGGTGAAACATAAAGTTTGAGACAGCTCTTGGGTTCATCTTAGCTGTTTGAGTGCACCCAGACTGAGATCCAGCATATGATGTATCTAAGTGATACACAAAGAAGCATCGCTTTCAAAAAGGGACCTATTTCAGTCAGAAAATATTGCCACCTTTTTTTGTCCAATAATGCTGTATCTGACATTCTTCAGTAGTCATCAGCCATATAACATAAATTTCAAATTTTGGACCATAAGCGACACGGACAGAATGTGTTTCTTCTGTTAAAAGACATCATAAGGAGGACATCAAAAGTTTCATGAGTATTTTTACAGAATCATTTTACTGATTCTTATTTTTGTGTTCCCCCAAGGTTACAGACTAGCTGCTATCCCTTTCCTTACCAGGATTATAATTTAGGAAAGTACCATAAAGATTAAAATTAAGATAAGGACTCTTAAGAGATACAGCCCTGCATTAATTGGACTATTTATTTTGAAAAATCTGTCTAGAAATTATATCACATTATATTCCTAAATCATGCATTGATTTTTGCACTTACCAAATTTTTGAAGCTGAATAGTCAAAACATTCATTTTGTTGAATTTTTAGGATCATCATAATTTATTTTATTTTGCTGTCCAACAAAAGGTAAACATAATAGCAGACAAAATCTTATGGGCTAGGAGTGAGAATAAAGTAAAACATCACAGTGAGTCACAAAGACATAAAAGAAATAAAGCCTCCAACAGGAAATGATTAAATTTGATCTTAAGAATGTATTCTGTGCTTTCTTCTTAATTAGAAAATCAGAAATAAAAAGTCAATACTGTTCATTAACTACCCAGCTAATAATGGAAGATAATTTCTCAATGTCAAATACATATCAGGATAAATACTATTAAAAACTTGATATTACATAATGTTAGAGATATGCGATTTGTCTCTTCACTGAGAATTTAGAATGACCATCAAATAAGTATGACAGCACATGATAAAAAAATGGTAAGCAGAAAATGACACAGCACTTATACACGATAAAGGTGAGTTATAATATACTCTTAAAATAGTGTATGTCTTAAATTATAATGAATAAACCTGAAGCATGACAGAATGTAATTAACCCAATGATATGGTATGTCAAGTGCACTTTCCTTAATAGTTTCACAAAACATCATGAGATGCGTGAACCAACCTTACCGTATCCATTAGTCATGTCCAATATTGCTCTTACTTGAGTATGTATAGTCACATATACATATATGTGTCTTAATGTTGCTGTCATATTAGTGAATTTCTTTTTTTGTGATCATCATTGATTTGCATTTACTAAGTACATTAATTAAGAGATTAGACAATTTTAGATCAGACTTTGATTTAAACATACAAATTATTGTATATCCAATATAATTAAAAATAATCCAGTTTTTAAAAATATTACAGATTCTGGCAAATCTTGTAACTTTTATTTTTCTGAAAAGCAGGGGACAATATTACATTTACAGATATCAGTGTGAAGATTTTGAAAACTCAGTACTCAGTACATATTTATTTGATTCACCAGCAAGATGGTGAAATAGGCATTTGTATTTTTCTCCCTCCTTCTTCAACAGATCTTATTAATATGAAAATAAAGTGACATGAAAGGAAACAAACCCACCAAAGTTGAGATTATATATATATAAAAGAAGAGATGTCAGAGGATGAAAGAGTTTAGCATTGTTCCAATACAGGTTCAATATCAGACTGCACTGATAGTGGGAGTCAACTTTCCAGCCAGACCACTGGGGTTTTTCCAACCATAGTATCAACATGAAGAGCATGTGAAACTCAGGCTGAAAACAAGCTCATTAATTACAGGGATAGTTATGAAAGCACTCTACCATTCAGCTCTTGAATTATTTCATCTCAATACAGATGGTATCATAAAGATTAACCCCAGTAAAAATCTGAGGGCTAACCAATAGAGGATCTGAATTAATTGCCTGGAGTCAATTAGGGATTCAGTTGTGAATCCTGGTGTTCCAGGGTTAGATTGTTCTCGTTTGTTTCCAAAAATAAGTTTTTTCTTACCATTAAGCAAAGACAGCCTAGTGGCAATATTTACACAAATCATTTTTTTTTCTTTTTAGGGAAAGACCTGTCAGTGAAACAGATTATCAAATAGATATGTACACACACACACACACACACACACACATTTGATTACATATGCAAACACATAAGAGAGGAATACCATAAATTATTTCTAGAAACACAATCTATTATACATTTTAATATGAATAATAACCAAGGATACCAGCATATAAAAAAATCAGTATAAATGAGAATAACACTTCATCATCGAGGAACAGTTAGCAGAAAATATATAAAAATATATAACAGCTAGTGTCATCACTATGCATTCCTAAAGAACATAAAGAATATGCCCTAAACAAAATACACAACTTCCAAATAAATGTATAAATACAGGCAACAACCTTTTCTGCCATTAATAGCATCAATGATTTTAATCACAACATTGATCAGAAAATGGGTCTCTTGATTAAGCAATCAGTAAGATGACGTTTAATCTTTTGGAGACTTACATCAAGTATAACACTGCAGTTATGGTGAATTACAAATAGATAAAGAGTGTATCAACCCAAATGGCCCAATATTTGACAAGAGATTCCGAGAGAAGAGAGAAAATGTAGAACCTGAAATTTCCAGACTAATCATATATTAGACGTATTCATGGTGTTACAGGCTCCTTCAGGTGTTGCTTCACCAGCCAGAAACCTTTGTTGCCAGCGGCGCCTCTGTTTGAGTTTTGCTACTGCCCGCTGGGCTCATTCGGCACACTTGGCCCGGCAGCCTGCATTGGCTCACCCTACCAACCTCACAAAATTTCATGAGACGTGTGAATCCCATGCCCGCCAAAGGCGAGCCAGATGTGGAGCAGCGAAGGATGTGTGAGCGAGCAAGCGAGGGCTCCGGCCACTGCGCACAGCCAGGTGTGCCGGCGGCTGTGGTGGGGCGGGCATCTCCAGGCGCCGGCACAGGCACCGGCTGCTTGCAAGGCTGTGCCTGGACCAGGCGTACTGCACTGGACTTCTGCTGCAGGCACCAGCGTCTGGCCGAGGGGAATGTGGTGGTGGCTGGAAAGCTTGGAGAGGCCAGGAGTCGCAGAGCCCCAAAGAGGGTGTTACAGTATGGCACAGCCCTGACTCAGGGAACCTTGAGGTCTGGGATCCCAGAAGTGCCACAGCTCTTCTCTCCCTCTCATCTCCTGCATCACGGTGGGCGGCGCATATTTCAGGGGGCTGTGTTTCAGCCCATTTGTGTTATAGCTCTTTCAGCCATGCCACTCTGCTGTGGTCCTAGCTCTTTCAGCCATGCCACTCTGCTGTGGTCCATGGCTCCTGGGCTGGCCTGGCCCCATCACTGCTTCCCATCACGTGGGGCGACTCAGAGGGCGAGAGGGCTATAGTGTTACAGCTCTGGCTTGAGGAATCCTGAGGTCTGGGCCCCGAGAAAGGTCGACACACTTCATTCCTCCAGTCTGGGAGAGTATTCCCCCCGCACCCCCGCCCACGCCACAACTTGGTGAGCCATCCAGGAAAGTGTTACAGCTACTTTTGTTCCCGCCATTCTGCAGGTTCTAAGTTCTTACCGTCTTTTCCAGGAAGAATGAGGTTACATGGACAATTGGAGGGTGAACAAGGAGAAGAGGAGCTTTACTGAGTGACAGAACCACTCTCAGCAGAAGAGGGACCCGAAATGGGCAGCTCCTACCCACAGGCAGGTTGTCCCAATGAGTGTGAGTCTGGCGGAGCCCAGGGATTTTTTATGGGCTCAGAATGGAGGAAGTGTGTGCTGATTGGGCCATGGGTGGTCCCGGAAAAAGCACCACTTGATTGGCTGAAAGGCATCAAGGTTGTTCTCAATTTGAGTCGTGATCAGAACCAGGAGGCTGGCCTTCCAGGTTCAGGCCATTCCTGGCTTGAAGATTCGGCCTCACCGGGGACCCACCCCTTCTTGCCTAGGAACCTGTCTGCCTCCTGCTGTCATCAACATGCTGTCCACTGCACCCAGGCTGTCCATGCCAAGGGTCACATGCAGGCTCGCGCCGAGCTGCCCTCAGCCCCGTCATCTACCTCCCATGCCCTTCAGTGCCCAAAGTTTCGGCCTCAGAAGCAGTTACCAGAGGGGGTCTAAGCAGCAGGTGGCTGGCATGTCAGCGACGCCCTGAGAACACATACACTCGGCCAGGTTGTGACAGTGTCCAGGCTCGGCTATCAGGACACATCCACAGTTTTGCTCCATCAAGGAGCTGGTGCTGGAAGGGGGAAGATGCCAGGGAGCCGGAGCAGGCACTTCTGAGCCTGCAGGGAGCAGGGGACTTCCCGGCCCCTGAGAGCGCAGGGATGCCCAGGTGCGGAGCCACCGTTGAGAGGCTGCAGCTGCATGCGAGGGCGTGGGCTGCCATCCCACCAACTCGGTAGGGCGTGGGGCTTCTGCTGGGATCGTCTGTTTCCGGCCCCCACCTGCTCTGCGGAGTGTGCAGCTCCGGCCAGCCTCTCCCACCGCGGCAGCTGCTGTATATGGCCCACCACCACCATCAAAAAGTTAGGAAAATGTAATGACTCCTTGAAAGTACACCACAAAATAAGTGTCTATGAGGTTGGATTTTAAAATATTGTGTTTTATGTGTATATGAGAGACAGAAAGAGAGAGAGAGAGAGAGAAATAGAATTGGGTCAGCTACAAAGGCAAGAAATCAGACTAATATCAGACTTTTCATCAGTAATACCGGTAGATAAAAGATAATAAAAAAAGGACCGTAATAATTTGGATGTCAATATATCTTGGAAATATTATTTCATATCATATATTATATTAATGAAATTGCATAGGTAATTTAATGACTTTAATAGACAAACAGATTTAAAAAATACGCTCATCATTTATTCTTTTTGAGAAAACAAAACACAACTTCAGTCCAACATTAATATTCAAATTAAGAAAGAGAGAATTTAGAACAACAACAACAAAAAAAAAAAAAACAGAAAAGACCAAACTGAAAATGAGCCAGGATTGTTGTTAAAATTCAAAACAAAACAAATTAGGATAAAGGTACGCTGTATAAAAAGCATTTTTTTTTTCAATTTGAAAGGCAATAGGTATAAAAATAGCTTCTAATGATGGAAAAGTATCACAAGCTACAGATAAAATACATATAATTTGTATTACCTTAATGAAAAATAAACCCTTATTCTCTCGGTGAAAGCAGTTAGAGTCTCTGAATGAAAAATCTTTGTAAAATAAAGTCATCATCAAAATATAAAAGAGGCCAAAAATAAAACATTATTTAAAAGAGTTGGTGTATAAAAAAGCATAATCCTTTGTATGATATGTTTCTTCTGTGCCTATTTTCTTGAGAAGAAAATCTAAAAAAAAAGAAAAATTCTTCTTGACATTGGCCTTGGCAGAAAATTCATGGATAAGACTTCAAAAAAATCCAAAAAAAGGTTAAATGGGACTTAATTAAACTAAAATTATTCTGCACATCAAAAAATAATCTATAGATTGAGCAAAAAACCTGCATAAAGTAGGATGTATTTGCGAACTATGTATCCAACAAATGACTAATATCCAGAGACTACGAAGATCTGAAACAACTCAAGATAAAAATAAATTCATTTAAAAGTGGGTAGAGATGGAAGCAACCTAAGTGTCCACCAGCAGACTATGCATAAATAAAACATAGTACCTATACACAATGGAGTACTATTCAGCCATAAAAAAAGAATTGAGATCCTGTCATGTTTCAGGACAAGATGAAGGTATTTCATAGCACATCAGGGTGACTATAGTCAACAATAAGTTAGCATATGTTTAAAAATAACTAAAAGAGTAGAATTGGATATTTTGTAACACAAAGAAAGGATAAATGCTCGAAGTGATGGATATTTTATCTACCCTGATGTGACTATTAAGCATCGTGTGCCTGTGTGAAAAGTCTCATGTACCTCATAAATATGTACACCTACTATCTACCCACAACAATTAAATATAAAATATTTATTAAGATTAAAAAAGTAGTGGGCAAAGGATATGAACAGACATTTTCAAAAGAAGACATAAAAATGACCAAGAAAATGATAAAAAATTCAACATCACTAATCATTTGAAAATAACTAAAACTATGATGAGATACCATCTTACACCAGTCAGAGTGACATCTATTCAACAGTAAAAAATGATAGATGCTGGTGAGGATGGAGTGAAAAGAAAACACTTATTCACTCTTGGAGAAAGTGTAAGTTAGTATAACCTCTATGAAAAACAGTATCAGTCATGCACTATCCAGTTTACTATTATCTCCGATTATATGACATGAGTTCTCATTTATTTCTGTTGATGGTCTTGCCTCTTTAGTTATCTGTTTTTGCAATGTTGCTATAATATTTTTCATAACTTTATGGAATACAGTGTAACTATGACCTATCTTGATAATTTAAAAGTAAATGCATACCTGAGAGACTTTTTAAAGTAGATAAGAAGAAATATTAAGTTGAGGGGAACATGAGGGTCACACATGATGAGTAATCTATAAATAGGTTTTTATAAATGAATAGATTAAAAGATGAAGTCTCATGGATACTATTAAAAATTGAAAGATAACTCAAAAAGCACATGAAAAGTATAAAATTCAATCACTTAAAGGAAAGGAGAGGTAATCGTGTTTGTAGGCAATTTGAATATTTAATTTTCAAAGTGGGATGTCAATATATTATTTAATGTCTAATCAGTGGTCTTTATGGGAGCTATTACCCCCTACCATCCACAGAACATTCTGCAATATCTTGAGTTATTCTGATGGAAATTGCTTTGATTGGAGTAGGGCAACTACAGGCAACTAGAGAATAGAGACCAGGGATGCTCCAAAACTTCCTTCAAGGCACAAGAAAGCCCTCTGCAATAAGAATCATCTGGTTCAAAATCCTAATATTTCTGAGGATATGAAATTTTATCAAGTTAGTATATCCAGGCAGGACAGAGCATGACAGCATAAGATTTTATCACACTACTAAGAATGGCACACAATTTAAAACTTATTAATGATTTTAATGGAATTTCCATTTACCATTTTTGAACCATGACTGACCACAGGCAATCAAAGCCACAGAAAGCCAACCCGTGGGTAAGTGGATACTATTACATAGGATTTTGAGTTAACAATTCTCTTCTTTCAACATCTGAAAAACATTTTGCCACTTCCATCTGAACTCATGGTTTTGGGCAACAAACCTCCTGCCTTCTAATTTTTTCTCTGATATCACTTAAACCTGGCTGCTTTCAAAATAGTTTGATTATAGTTTATACAAGCTTAATTATGAAGTGTATTGGCATGGATTTCTTTGAGGTTATTCTGGTAGACCTTGGTCTGGTTCTTGAATCTGTACTTTTATTTATGTATCTTGCCAAATTTGGGAAATTTTTCACCAGTATTTCTTAGAATATAATTTTCGCCCCACTCATTCTTCTACCCTTTCTGTTTTCCAATGTTAAAAAATTAGATTTTATGTTATAAATGCCTCTTTAATTTTTCAGGGCGTTTTCTGAAAAAAAGAATGTTGCACAGATTCAGTAATAACTATTGTTCTTTTTTTTTCAACCACTGACTTTTTTTCTTGTCTTCTCCATTTTGTTACTATTGAGCCCATAATCTGAATTTATTGTATTTTCAGTTCTTTCATTTTTTATATCTTCTATTGTTTGTAAAGACTTTCTATTTCTTTCCTAACACTTCCAATTTTTTTTCACTTGTTTCATTCATGCTCATAATTGCTCACTGAAGCTTCTTTATCATGGCTTCTTCAAAATCTTGTCAGATAATTCTACCATTTTGGTGTTGGTATCTATTGGGTGACTTTCTTAATTTAGGTTGAGATCTTGATTATTGGTATGATTAATACTTTCTTTTGAAATATGGATGTTTTTATACACTGTCATGTGACCCTGAATCTTAATCTCCTGTTTCAGCTGACATTTTCCGACACTGGTTAGCATGGAAATGGGGAAGGTTCTGCTTCGTTACTGATAGGTGAAAGTACAAGTTCAGGTTCTCCACTATAAGTTATTTGACAGGCAACAAGCTATTGTCTTCCTTATTGAAGGGCAGGTGTGAGTTTAACTTAGTTTACACTGACACCATGTGGGACAAGCTGTGTCAAAGCTCTGACTCTCCCCTATACCTCTTCTGACATTGTGCCAGTGGAGAGAGGGATAGCGCAATAATGATATCCTGGCTTCTAAACTGACCTTCTTTGAGGTCACTTCAGGGATATTGGGATGCCTTGTTACAGTGGGGTGAAGCTCACGCTTCCCACTCAGGTTTTGCTTGCATGTGCGGGATTTAGGTTAATGTTTTTTTTGTTGTTGTTTGTTTCTTTTTTGTTGTTGTTTGTTTCTCCGTGTTGTTTAGATGTAGGGGATTGGTTATTTCTGAAAGTTGTCTGTTATGCTAGCTGCACTCTTCCTGATGTTTTGACTAGAGACAGGTGAGTCTGTGGGGGATAGGGGAGCTAGCTATGGTATTTGTGTTGTCAGTTTCTTCAAGTCAAAATCTGAATTTTTGTGGGAAAAAAAGGAAACCTTAGTGAACTCAGCATCTTGTCTTTTTGAGGGTCACCAAGTCCTCTCTCCAACTTTTTAGAGCCTTCTTATGTATTTTTGACATGCTTTGTCCAGTTTTTATATTTGTACTTATTGAAAGAAAGAGAGGACATGTATCAATTCCATCTTCCTGGAAACCAAATTTTTTGTAAATATTAATTTTAAGTTCTATTGATCTATATATTATCGTATTTTTATTATGCATTTGATCTATGCTTAAAATTCTGTTTGTAGGGTATAATGTACTCAATTTATAAACATTTACATGTGTTTATATGTTTATAAATTGAGTAGATTATACCATACAATTTATAAACATTTACATATCTAAAAGTTGATTAATTCACGAAATAGTGATCTGTTGAGTAACTATTACATAAAAGAAATTAGTCTGGATGTTGAATTATGAGTATATACTAACATGATACTCATATTTTAGTTGGAGAAGCTATAAAATGAAAAGAAACTTACAAAATAAAATGAATATCTAGGATAATGTCAGGAAATAACTTTTCAATCAAATATATTCCTTTTATTCAGTAAACTTCCAAGAATTTTTTTGATGAGTTGAAAATTGGGCCATGATATGAATAAAGAATTAATTCCTATTTCTTGTGAACCAAAATGATACCTACCTCTCCTTCTCTCTTGCCATAGTACAAATTTGACTTCTCTATGTTGTTATCATGACAGAGGAGCCTGAGGTCATTCTGATATTTTATCTTCCATATCCTTTATTCAACTTTTGAAATATATATTTTAATGTTGACATTCAGAAATTTTATTAGAAGATACCTAGTTGCTAATTTATTTTCCATTTGTTGATTTTGTTTAATACCCCATAAAATGTCTTCACATAAAGTATATATTTACTTAGCACAGGAAATTTATTTTTAACTCTTCACTGTATTGTTGTTTACATTTTTTACATTTACTTCTGTAATTTCTACTATACAAATTTCAAAAAACTATTTTCCAACTTTCTTATAATGTTTGCTCATCAATATTAGTTTGGGAATCCTTTTATTTTGAATTAGGAAGAGTGCTAGAGCTGATCCCTGTGTCTCTGTCGCAGTGTTGGTAGGTATATTAACTATTAGTGCTATATTTTCAAGTTCAGTAATTATGTTTTTCTTGTGAAATAATATTCTGATACATATTTCCTCTTTTATATGTATTATACATAATACACATATTTAAAGTATATGCATATATACTATATATTTTTTATATTTTGTATATATAACGTACATATATGTATATATTCCTTTTTAATCTTATTTGGAATACAACATTTTTGCAAGAATTCATTATTTTTATTATGTTGATTCTGTTATATCAAGGACCATTTAATATAATTGCTTATAATCATTCCATGATTTATGTTAATAAAAAATTAGAAGTGCTTTTGTATATTTTCATTTGTAAAAAAAGTTGTCCTGTAACTTTTTTCCTGAAATTGATTTTATAATGGAATATTTTCAGAGACTGGATTGGCCCATTTTTAAATCATTTTATACCTGTCAATGAGGAGATATATATATATATATATATATATATATGTATATTTTACTTCATTCTGGAATTCTCTAGTGTGAATATTAGGGAACTTTTACCCTCTCATTATTTGTCTTCCTGCTCTTGTTCCAGGTCCCTTACCTGGAAATTTAGCATTTATTTCAGAAATTAATTTTAATGTGAAGAATAATGAATAAATTGCTGGAAGCAGTTAGGTGGTTTTTAACCTTGCCATAAGACTAGGTGATTCTTGTTTTTTATTTTATTTATTTATTTTTTTGAGACGGAGTCTCGCTCTGTCGCCCAGGCTGGAGTGCAGTGGCTCAATCTCCGCTCATTGCAAGCTCCGCCTCCCGGGTTCACGCCATTCTCCTGCCTCAGACTCCGGAGTAGCTGGGACTACAGGCACCCGCCTCCACGCCCTGCTAATTTTTTGTATTTTTAGTAGAGACGGGGTTTCACCGTGTTAGCCAGGATGGTCTCGATCTCCTGACCTCGTGATCTGCCCGCCTCGGCCTCCCAAAGTGTTGGAATTACAGGCATGAGCCACCGCGCCGGGCCGATTCTTGTTTTTATTAAATCTATTTCTATGTTGGTTTTGACAACTTTCACTTACTTAGCGTGATGCAACCTCTATTCTCCCTACTATCTGCCTTTTAAAAATCACATTTAAGCAAGGTCCTCTAATTTGGGTACCTCAGTCCACAGGAAGCAAAACTTGGACATGAAAACTATTGTCAATGTTTCAGTGCAAGAATCAAGTAGAATTCCAGACATTCTTTTCATAAACTCCCTGTACTAATCCTACTTCATGCTAAAAAAATCTTAATAGTATCATCACAACAATGTTTCCATTTGAGATTTTTCTGAACGAATTAGACAGTTATTCCCTCTCTTTGTAACAATTAGTCTTATTTTTCTTGCATCTATATGCCTTTGGGATTCTGAAAAGGCTTTGGGTTAAAAGCAGACATTTGATTTCTACATTGTTAGTTCTTAATTAAATATTTTGTCCATTATTTATTTTTAATATAATAAATATCTACCTGAAAACTTGTATGAAAATATTAAATATCACTTTATTATTTTTCAATATGTAAATGATTTATAATTTTATGACATGTTGGATATTAGAGTACATAAATTCGTTTCAGTAGAAGCATTGCTTTACATTAGAAGGAATATTATTTACCTAATTAGAGTATTCTTTTCATGAAGGATTTCAAAGGTTTTTTTTTGTTTTATTGTGCATTTGTTTTTGTCAAAAACAGACCAAATATAAAGAAATGTAGAGATTAAACCATTGCAAGGCCTGAAATTAGCTACTACCTGCTTAATATTAAGTGATAAAGACCCGATTTCTTCTTAAAATACTTATCTAAGAAGTGATTTTATTAGAGTTCAAGCAAAATACTTAATATCCTGGCTATTTTACTCTTACTTTGAGGCAACCCTTGTTTCCTTTTTGAAAATGTGTTTATGTGTACGTGTGTGTGTTATCAACTTGGAAGTTTCAAAATTATATGGAACTCTGTTTCTCCTTGAGTCACCCTGCTGTGGAGTGTAAATAAATCTAACCAGCTATTTCCTCAGGCTTATCTGTGTGTCTAACTCCAGTGGAGGTACATGGAAGAACATCCATCTGAGAAGTAAATGAATTGTTCTGCAAACCATGCCTTACTGTTAAAATGACGCTATTAAATTCTCAGCTTCATACTTAAAACATCAGCAGGTGGTTTATAATTTTAAAATAAAATATTTAATAAATTACTTGAATGTGTACCTAATTTATAATATGTGATTTAGTAAAATTATTTATAAATAAAATAGACCCGAGACTAAGAAGCAATGTAATATTTTATTAATTTTGGAGCAAAGCGAGGTTGTTGCTTTACATGTCCTACTTTTCTCTGACAAATGCTAATCCAGTTTCATTTTGCCATGCCTTAAAGACTAAGTCAAAATTCATAATTGATAAGAAAAATTGAGTTTTATTATTAGCAACATATCTCCATTTTCTCCTACTTAAGAGTAGTTAAAAAAATCATTAACTATACACATTGAAACCCTCAAATACTACAAGGTTACACACAGAAATGAAACACTAGTCTTATATAATTTATTCCATAGAGAAATAGTATTTTTTAAAATTTACAACTACAGCATTCATTGCCATGTTGAGTATTAGATGGACACACAACTACATATTTACATATGTTTATAACATTTTTTAGTCTTAACTGAATTGCAAATATTTATTTTTAATTGAGTACATTACATTCTATTGCAATACTATAAATGTTGTCAAGATTATTACTGAAATACAGTATCTTATTAATTTAAAAGCTCACACATATGGATTTGAGGTTAACTGATGACATTACAGAATATTTACTGAATATAGAAGAATTATTTTTTGTTTTGTTTTGTTTTAGTTTTTTGGAATCAGTCTTATATCTTACTGTGTCCCCCAGGCCAGAGTGAGTGGCATAGTGGCATGATCCTGGATCGCTCAAGCGATCCTCACACTTCAGCCTCCCGAATAGCTGGGGCCACAGACATGCACCACCATATCTGGCTAATTTTTCTATATTTGTAAAGATGAGGTTTCACCATGTTACTCAGGCTGGTCTCGAAATCCTGGCCTCCAGTGACTCACCTTGCCTTGACCTCCAAAACTGCTGGGATTACAGGCATGACCTGCCGCGCCCAGCCCAAACATAATGAGCTCTAAATTTTAGCAAGCAGTTCTTAGGATGGTCAATCATGAAATTCAAGAGGATCTCTATCTGATGTTATGCTAATATACTAATATAACTAATATCCTAATAACCAATATACTAATCAGTGGACAAAGGTAACATTAAAATGAAAAAGAGTAATTTATTTGCAGAGGTATTTTAATGTCACACTTTGTTTTAATTTCAAGCATATCATATTTCATATCATTGGACTGTGCTGGTTATCAATTTATTGAATTAGAACTCCACATTCATATTTCATTGCTTGCAGTGCAATAATATAGTTTGGCTCTCTAAACATTTTTCCCATGATGCCTCGCACAATCTTAAAATTTACAGGTAGAAGGTATTGGAGGTTCCTTGAAGGAGAAAGTGGCTTCTCTCCTTCATTCCATTGTGCTTGCGTTCCCTTTTCTCATCTGTCATGACTTCGATATGGAGAATGTTCATAGTCACTCACCCCCATCCTGTTTCAACATCTCCTCAGGAAACGGCTTCCCAGTGAGTTTCCCTGAGTTCATGGCAAGTTGCATGGTAAGTCAGAAAGCAGAATTCCAACAATGTCCTTAGGCTTTCCTAAGCATCTCTGCACAAGGTTTTCAGTTAATTTAATCAGCACAACAGAGGATTGTTCACTGCTTGGTTGTCCTAACTTATGGTACCTCCATGACTTTCCCATCCAGTAACTCAAGGCCAAAAACTCTTCAACACAGTCTGAAATTCGGGTTCTGATTGGAATTGAAGGAGCTTTTTCATTTGTTTTTCTTTGTTTCCTCTGTTTCAGCCCTCAAGAGAGTGGTTCTTCCCTATATTTGATATTCTTTTATTCATTAGTGTTCTTTTAATAATTCACATTTAACCTGTAGTTATTATTTACATGTTAACTTTTCTCTGTCAAATTGTTGTATGGTTTCTATCGCTTGACTTCCCTAAAAGATACATGCATTAACACAGAAAAACAATTAAATTTGACACTAAACTATTTCAAAGTCAGACAATGATCAGATCACTAAGAATAGCCAAAACTATTATTTTACACTCTTTTCTTGTTGCTATCTGCTTTATGCAATATCAGTATCATTCAATGCAATTTTTTAAAAGGCAGGAATATGAAATGAGAAGGAAAAAACCTTCAAATAAACTTATTTTTTTCAACACTGAGATCAAATACACGATTATGGATCAGAGTGCCTTCCAGCTCTGAGGATGTGGCTGTCCTGTTTTTAAACGTTGGCCAACTCATTGCTCAATGTATTTTCTTTCTTGTCTGGAATACACAGGTTTAAAAATACATCTGCATCTAATTTTAAATGTGTACATATCTTGTATTAACTTTTAAAAAGCAATTAGTCTCAATAAACCGACCTATTTCAATCATAATGATATTTCCATTGCTTTACCAGTTCTGGTCTTTTAACTTTTTAACACTGAGCCTTTTTTTTTTCTTAGTTTGATTCCCTGAAAGTTCATTAATAGAGAAAGAGTCTTTAAGAAACAAGTAATATTTTAAGACAGTAATTTGGGAAATTAGATATGGAATTGATGCTCTTAAATGTAGTAATCAGACCATTCTTTGAAAGCTTAATGATGGATTCAACACATGTTAAGCATACAAAATCACAAGAATATACAATAATATATGTTTGGCAAAAGTTCTAAAGTTGGGAAGAGTTGTTAAAATTTTGATTAGAAAATAATTTTTTGTATCCCACAAATTAGTACCAATCAGTAAAGTTGAGAATGGGATGACATTAAAATAGTGACAATTAACAGCTTTTTTATATGAAGTATATATAAGTATATATATGAGGTCTATATATTGGATCTACCTCAATAGTCACAACAACACCTTAATGGAAGGTAACTTTCTTACTACTCTTATAGGTGAAGAAGTATAGATTTGTAGTTCATGCAGTATGTCCAAAGTCACACAATTAATAAGTGACAGAGGGATGGTTTAAAATCAAGTTATTTAAACTTACAGTTCATATTATTTATATTTAACTTATTGGTTTAAAAATCAAGTTAGTCCATTTTTCTAAATTTTAATAAAAACTATTCACAAATATATTTGCTTTATATTTATAAAAATGATAAATATGATTTCAGGTAAAGAAAAATTGAATCCCTTAAATTACTCAGGTTTATTACAAAATTAGATATATTAAAATTACAATCAATATTCCAAAAATTATTCAATGGACAGCAATAAAAGAAAGAATAGAGAGATATAAGAATGGGAATTTTCACTGATCATTTTCTATATCCACCCCAAACACTATATCATGTAAGCTGGAAATGCTAGTCTTTGAAATATTTTAAAACAATGTTGAATGATTATTAACTTTTTCAGATTATGTTTGCTTGTGAATAATAGAGCTTTATAATAAAAAGATGTAAACAAGATACATTTTATTTTTCTTCCAGGACTGCTATAACATTTCTACCACATAAAGTTCTTAGCAACTTAGGTTCCATTTCTTGAGCTTGATGGGTGACATCATTCTGACAGTTAACATCTTGCCAGTTGGGTTTTCCTGGAATCAACTCGGAATTAAAGATGGGTGTGAAAGAAATTTATTAGCATTTACTCTTAGGATATATGTCTTAGTAGGAAGGAGAGGAAGCAGCACTGAACAGAGGATAAATCTGGCTGCAAAGCTGTTACAACAAGGTCTCTTCTCACAGTACAGGGAGCTCTGTAGCTATAATAGCTTTTCAGAGTTGTCCAGTGTTGGATCAAGAGGCTGGGGCTTTCTACCCACATTAATCGCTCACTAAATGCAGGGTGCTATGAAAACGTGGTGGGATCTTGGTCAAGATGACTTACGTCCTCCCAAGAGAGCAATACTCTAAGGTGGAAGGATAACTCCTTCTTCCTTGACGAGTGGCTCTGAAAGCACAACTCTGAATCTACTAGAGACCCTGTGGTCTAGTTTCTAATTTCAGACAGAAACAAGGAGAAAGTATGAATGAGAAAGTATTGTACTGAAATTTTTATAAAGTTTAAACTGTAACAAAATACTTCTACTTATATATTATTAGCCTGAACTTATTATTATAATGATCCCTCTTAAAATAAGAGATTATAAATATGTATTTATTTACAATACATTAAATTTGTCCAGCTGAAAATTGGAGAGGGAATTTATTAAAATAGATGAAAGGTGTGTATATAATAAGAATTAGCTCTATTTGGTACATCATAGAAACAAGAATTCTGAATCAGAGTGGAAATAACTTGCCAGGGTCAGATGTCCATTTATTAAACTCCTAATTGCACTAGCCTATGTCTATTTTCTTTCCACTACCAACAATTACCTTTCTAAGGTAAGTAAGATGAATGTATGAACAACTCAGTTTCTAATCAATTACAGTAAGTTACATATTCAAAGGGAAGCTACTGGGAATACCAAATAAATGCTTTCAAAATCATGCAATTATATCGTACTGCTCCTATTTAATTACAGGCAACATCAATATTTTGATGTAAGTAGGCAATTCATTTCCTCTTTCATTTCATATTTGAGATGCTGATGCTCAGATAGTATCTGACAGCACATAATCTGATAGTAAATAGTAAAATAATTCAAGCTGCATACAAATGTTATTTTTTATCTTCTTTTAAAATTATTTCATTTTTTTGCTTTTTCTGAAGACCAAATGATCAAAAATATTATGTTTTTAAAATTCTTAAATAACAAATTCATAATCAATTTTATTATACTTTAAATATCACATCGTGTAATACCCAAATCTTGTTAAGACTATTTTAAATCTAAAGATGTCTGGTGCAGAACCAAAATTTTTGATAGAATATAAATCTGTATACATTAGAATAACTAAAATTGTAGTTTATTGTAAATGTGTAGAAAAATATCACATAATCTACGTATGAGGAGTGTCATAAGGTTAGTCTTACTCAGTTTGTCTCTAAATTGAAGGTTGCTTTAGAGATAACAGCCAAATTCAAACACTCATTTTAGTGCTTCAGCATCCATGTTATTTTGCTTCATTCTATGTATCGTTTCCTTTTTTGTCTTTCTTGAGTGAGATTTTTTTTTTCTCTTGGTACAATCAGCTGTGGCCAGAGGGAATAAATTTACAAAGCTAAGAAGGGGCAGGTTCTCTGTAATTGGAAAACCATCCATAAACAAGTTCTAGAAGAAGTAGTTTACATTGCTGTATTATATTGCTATATTTTATTTCCGTCTACTTTATATTGATTAAATGATCTATTGTTAATTAGTTAAATTCTGCGAATAATTTCTAAATGTATTTAGAAAATAGAAGATAAAGTACTTAGTGAATGGAAACAAAACATATTAATATGAATAAAATCTGTCTAATTAAAGTAAACCGTATTCAGCTCGAGTCATGTGTGTGTTTACAGATGATTCAAGTTATTCCCAGTAGTTATGTTCTATAAATTTGGCTGAGCACTGAAGGAGTAAATACTGAAGAGTGCTTGTGGCTGGAATAGAGGTTAAGGGTCCTGTGAGACACCCATGACAACACCTTTGTCAACCAATGAATGCATAACCTTGTTTAATGTGCATTTCTTTTAAAAGGCATCTTATTTAATAAATATTGGTGATTCATTAACATAGAACTGGCCAAAAGCATTATATCTCATACCTCAATGTAGCTTATTTAACAAAAACATTTCCCCTTAAGGCATATCACAGCCATTCTGAGCTTAGGAAAAGTAGATTACACTTCAGTACTATACTCAGAGTCCACTTTAAACAGGAAAATCACCAACAAAAAGCACAAAAATGCAAAAAAATGTAATCCTAAATGTACTTTAAAAGGACCCTTGTTTACAGTATGAGGACTAAAACAAAAAGGTAGAGCACTGCCTTGTTTAGCTTCAGCTGGGAACTGTGTGTCAGGTGACTAAAATTGTTCAGTGCTGTCCGCATATCCATGAATGATGGTAAAAGCACCAGGTGTGTTGATTTTGGGGTTACACATAAATGTTAAACTTGTAAAACTGGCATATTTGCAAATACAGAGTCCATAAATACTGAGGATTTTTTAAACATATACACATTACTTTCTTTTAAAATAAAACATGTGTTACCCTAAATGTTTATGCCATATCAACATGATGGACTAGTAATATTTTTCAGTAACATACAGATATGGGCACAAAAAGTTTTACATCAATTTATCTATATACTTACCCCTTAAAAAGTCCTCATGAATTTAATTAGTAAAAATAATTGTTTTCTTATATGTTAAGACGTTTGTTATAACATAGAGGAGTAGAGTTTGACCAATTCACTCCAAATGTTGAGTGATTTTTTTATGTACTTGAAAAACAATTTATAAGTAACAAAATTTTCTGCTAATTGGAGTGCTAGCAAATGTTGGAGTTACACTTGAAAGCAAAAATGCAGTCCTTACTACTTCATATGTGCTTGTCTGAGACTGCTTTTATTAAGTCTAAGATGAGACAAGATTTGAGTTTAAAATTACATAGACTAGCCAGACAGGCAAACTAAAAGAAGACAGGAGGCAGGGAAGTTGAGAGGGGTCTCAGAAAGTTACTAGCAGGCATTCTCTGATTCTGTTTTTCTTTGCAGGTTTGTGATTGGTGACTTCACAGAAGGTTTTCAGGCACATGCTGAGAAGTCTAATTAAGAGAGTTATCTCCATTTGTGCAGGCTTGAGGGGGTACTTCAATCAAGTAGAACCTGTTGAAGTGTGAATAGGACGAGCAGGGGAAGTTGAAGTGTCATCAGGAGAAATAAGTTGGCTGTCGACCAAGAAGTGTCACAGGACAACTTTACTCTAGCAAAAATGTCTCCAGTTTCGTAAGAAGAGTTGGGGCAGAAAGAGCTTTTACCAGCACACTGGAAATTAATCTGTTTCTCAGGAATAACTTACAGAGCCCTCAGATGCCAGTTAGTTCAAATGTCAATTTATTATTTTGCAATGAGAAGGCAACTTACTCTTCTCATCTGAATAATATATTTTCTCCACTGAGGATGGATTTCCTTTAGATGTTGACACATTTTTCAATAATTGATTGATAGTCATAAAATCTAAATAAGGAGAAAATTTTAATAATAAATCCTGATAGTCTGATGCATGAATATTCTCAGTAGAAATATTCCTGCCTGCAGAATGAGGTAAGCCATATATCTCATATATCTTCACATCTGGCTACAGAAAACTGACAGTGACATTATTTGTTTCTCCAACCTCATTTTTTCTCTCTCTCTCTTTGTATTACTGACTAGTTCTTTTAACTGATCTATTTTGGAAGAGTATCTGGGAGTATTAATAAAACTATCCTTATAAACTTTATAAAATTAACTATTAACCAGGAAAGAAGGAAGGGGGAGAAACCAAAATAAACCAAGCTTGTAGCACATTCAGCAAATTGATCATTAGGTCAGCTTACTTTCTAACTCAGTCTCTCATAGTTAGTCGTTCAGTGCCTATTGCCTCAGAATCATGCAGACCCTATCATAAGAGTATAGTTCTTCTTAACTGTTCTGTAGATAACAATGTGAACTTTATGAAACATTAAGTTTCCCCTTTGAGAGATTCTTTCACGTCCTGCATACCAGTGAAACTGCGGATGTCAGTTGGTCTGAAGGACTCTGTGGACAACAGCTCATCTGAAGGACCTCATTGATGCCAGCTGGTCTGAAGGACCCAGTAGGAGCTGACGGACCTAATAGTGAAGTTTCAAAATCTGGGTGATTTCATTCTCCTTACCCTAACCAATCAATGAACTCAATTTTCCAGCCCCTTTCACTCTATGATCCTATTTTAAAAATCTTGGCCCAGAAATCCTTGGTGAAATGAATCTGAAGGTCTCTTCCCATCTCTTCCCTAGGTGTCCTGCAATCATTAAACTCTTTCTCTGCTGCAGATCCTTCTGTCTCAGTGTATTGGTGTGTCACTGCATAGCAGGCATATATATGACCTATTGGTCCTACAGCGTTAATATGCAGTTTTATCCCAAGAACTTGGAGGTAAGTTAACCTGTAAAAATAATAAATCAGGCAAACCTGATGCCACAGAAATAGTTAGCAATCTGAAAATACAGCAATAATTTATCAGTGTATGCTAGGTAGCTTGGGAAGCCTGGAATTAAAAATGATAGTTTTCTAGCAGTAACTTGATGAAAATTTATTCAGGGAGTATGTCACAGTTACATTTTGTTAGCTAAAATTTGACCTTTTCTTTCTTGTTTTTTTACTTTTATTTCTTTAAGAGATTGTATGTTCACAGCATTGGATTAAAATCCTGGTTCACAACTTATACCCATCATTGCATTGTGCAAGATTTTATGTGTGTATCTATATGTGTATGTGTATGTGTGTATGTATGTATGTATATATGTGTCTGTCTATTGATCTATTGATCGATCGATTGATCTATTAATTTAAAAAGTACCATATAGCGGAATGTTAGAACAAAGACAATAAGTTAACTTAATCACCATGTGGTCATTCCCTATTTTCTTTTCTTCATTCTCCCTCTACATTTATCTTTATTATAAATCTTGTGATCATTTTTTTATATACATAATTTGAATTATCTATGTAGAGGATAAAACTACATGTGAGATGTTTCCACTATACCTGTGAAGAAATCCACAAAGATTCAATTTCCTCTAGTATTGAGAGAGAGCAGCAGAGCAAGCAACTGGGTGGGAGTGTTGAGCCCAGTTTTGCTTAGAAACTCCATAAATATCTTCTGATTTCAAGCTCACCTCACAATCTAATAAATATACAGCAAGTTTCCAAGTAAATTGCCTAGAGATAAAAATGTTCTAACAGCTTTAAAGTTTTGTCTTATTAAATGTTTGCATTTTTCATTATAAATTTAACAGATATTGTCATTATAATTTGGCATGCCTTGTAGCATATTTAGAAGAGAATACACAGAGAGTTCAATTCTTTGAATATTAGTGCTGGAAATGCAATTGTTGTGTTGAATGCTTGATTTGAAATTAAAACATTTTTCAGAGAATTTTAAGGAAAAAAATGAACATACTAGAATTATTTTTCAAAATATTGCTAAAAAATAAGAATTAAGAGCCAAAATATTAAATAGCCTAGGCTTCAGGATTTTAATCAAATCCAAACAATGTCACTTAAAAGTTATATATGCCTTTTAATTCACATAGCAATAATATTTTAATCACTTTACTGATGTATGTTTGACATAAATAAGGCTCTCTATATTTAATATATACAACTTGATTAGTATAGAGGTAAGTAAACACCCATAAAACCATCACCACAATCTATGCCATATCTGTTACCTCCTAGTTTCCTCTTGCCTTCTTATTTATTATTTTTGCGGTTAGAATACTTAACGTATGTGCTCTGTTAGCATTTTTTTAAATACACAATTACAGCATTGTTAACTACAGTCACCATGCTGTACAGTAGAATTCTAGGATTAATTCATCTTGTATAATTGAAACGTTGTACTCTCCAAATCTTAATTGTAATAACATTCCAAGTTCTTGAAATTAATAACTATATTACTAAAGCACCTATCATAGGGCTGGGCATATAACAAGTGCTCAATATATAATGATATTTTTCCTTCTTCTCTTTTTCATTACCAGGTACATTTTTCTATGTTCAACCAAAATATCATCTTATGTTTTATTTCTTTACATCACATTCAATTGCATGTCAATAAATGATACTTAAATTGCATGCCAGTTGAATGTGATGTAAAGAAATAAAACATAAGATGACATATTGGTTGAACATATGTCGAACAAAATAATTGTTATGATGAAAACTCTCGTATAATGCATTGTTGGGTGAGTACATCATGTTCTAGATCATATAAAAGCTTGCTCTTCTCTAAGAATACTTGGGATCTTAGGACCATGTCACTGAATTGACTGTGACAGCCTTACTTCTATGGAACATTGGTCTGCACACAGATGACACTACGCTCTCTGCCATCCCAAATATGTAACCATTCAGTAATATTATCCAGAAATCTGTCATTCTGAAAACTAACCTCAAAGGATGTATAACACAGGCTGGAATCTACTGTGGGTAAATGAATTGAGACTGCAGCGCATCTTGTTGATCTCCTAAGCTAAGCACCTAATCATTAGTACTAATCAGATTTAGAGACTTAATTAAGAATGCAGCTTGATTAGAAAAAAAAATATTAAAAAGAAGGAATAAAACCTGTGATCAGTACACAATACAAGGCATTGGCAATAAATGTAGTTGTGGGATTACTTGACCCCTGCAACATCCATAAGAGTTTAATCTATTTCATGTAAGTAAATTTTTATTGGCAAATTTCTAGAGAATGAAACCATTTATGACACTCTCTCATCTTGAATTTTGTGTGAAAGAAACAGCCACCAAATCTTTAGATTTGAAGCAATTAAAAATAAATATTGTTTTGCAATATTACAGAATCAGCTGCTAATTTAAGGATGGCTCAAAAAACAGTATGCCTCAAGGTATAGTTTATGGAACATCTACAAATTAATCATCTGGCCTGCCTGTACAAAATTAAGATTTCAAGTATCTGTTTAGGTTAATTGGTATATAAACCCTGGGATTCTATGCGTATTGAGGTACTCAGATAATTTGTATGCATGAGCACCAATGTCCCAGGTAATCTTGGGAAAATGACCAAAACAAGGAGAGAGATATTATTTAGAGGCCATTAAAAAAAAAAAAAGAGGACCACTTGAAGCTAGAACCACATACTGACATTCAATACATTCAATATAGGCAGAGAGTGGCACTTTTGAGGCTTATTCCTCTAGAGGTGTAATCACAAATATAACTATTCTTAAAGACAGCTGTTGCTTTCTCTTATTAAAAAAAAAAAAAAAGATACTAGGCTGGGCATAACGGTTCACACCTGTAATCCCAGCACTTTGGGAGGCTGAGGGAGGTGGATCACCTGAGGTCTGGAGTTCGAGACCAGCCTGACCAACATGGAGAAACCCCGTCTCTACTAAAAATACAAAATTAGCCAGGCGTGGTGGCGCAGGCCTTTAATCCCAGCTACTCAGGAGGCTGAGGCAGGTGAATTGCTTGAACCTGTGAGGTGGAGGTTGCAGTAAACTGAGATCGTGCCATTGCAACAAGAGTGAAACTCCATCTCAACAACAACAAAAAAGATACTAATAATAAGTGATAAAAATTGTGATAAATATTTGATTAACAATAATAGAATCCATTGATCAGGCTGTAGGGAATAGGCATTCATATTTTACTGTTTTGAGTGTAAATGAAACAACCATTGTGGAAACAAACTTAGAAATAGCTATCAATATTAAAAATGAATTTATCCATCGAATCACCAACTCACTATTAAAAACATATCCTTTAGGTATAAGTGCATATATACGTAATCATTTATATATAGATCTCTTCATTGCAACATTATTTATAATAGCAAAAGATGAAACAATTCACAATGCTGCAATATGAGATTCGATGAATAAAAATAAAATGTTACACTTACACAATGAAGAATACTGCATCTGAAAAAATTAGGATGCTGTCTGTGTATTGATATGAAAGTAATGCAAGATAGACTGATTAAAACAACAACGACAACAAATTATAGAAGAGTATATGTAATATACTAACATGAAAAAAGTGGAGTTTGAAAAAACATATCCATATTTGCCCTAAGAAAATCTGGTTGTTTTTATAAGAGACTACAAAAAGTAGGTTTGTTTTCATAAATTATATTTTATCTGAGAAAAATAATACTTCTGTGTATTTATGGAGTACAATATGATGTTATGTTACATGTATAAATTGTTGAATGATTATATTAGGCTATTTTTTCTTTGTGATGACATCTCTTAAATTTCTTTAAACAATTTTGAACTATATAATACATTATAATAACTTTAGTATTTTTATGGGAAATTTAGGAGAAGAGTAGATGTCAGGACAGGATTGGGGCAAAATGTCTCAAACTATAGAGCATTTTATGTCCCTTTGCTTTTTGACTTACGTTAATATATATCACGGCAAAACTAACTTGCTATAAAGTGTTTTATCTCAAAAGTAAAACCAAATCCTTGTTACAAAAAAGTGGATGTATTCTTTACATCACTTTCTCTTTTACTAGTACTTAACATATATCAAAGATTGTCAGCAGATAAAACGACAAGGAAATTTGAACAAGCATTAAATTGATCCACATGAACATTGATTAAATTATCATTTAATGCTTAAATTATTCTTACATTTTTACTATCTTCTTTTTGCATCATTTGTTCCCTGCCTTTCTGAAGAGAGGTTTGGATAATGAATCTGTTTTGGATTACTCCTGTGAATTTATATTTTATCTATTCTGTTTCCTTAGACATGTGAAAGTTGTCAGACTACAAAGAGGATTTTTCACATGGACCAATGTGAACACATGATTTACTTGAAGCTGCAAGTAGCAAGACCAGAAATATCTATAACAGTGCTTGTTCCCGCTGGAATGAACTAGATTGAACTGTAATTTTCCGTTTAATTTCATTCCTCGCATTTAGTGTAGTCAGTCAGAATCCAAATCTAAATCGGTCTCAATCAAGTTTATATGCAGCAATTTGGCAGCTGAAGAAACATTATTCAAAACCCTAGTTGGCCATGCCTGTAGCATCTATTTCAACTGAAATGGAGACAAGAAACTTAGAGTAAAACTGTTCAAAATATTTCCTTTGTACGCATGAATAACCAAAATATTCTTAGACTAGAAATTTGCAAGTAAATTCAAAAATATATATTTGTCAAATTTAGTGGGGAAAAAGTTCCCATTTTAGGAAAACATAATAAGCTACATTTTTCATTAGTGTTTTTTTTTTTTTTGGCAGTCCCAACCTTATCTGGAGAACTAAAAATTATATATCAACTAAACTAAATGTCTTATTTACGTCATATATATTTGAAATATACTATTCTAAAGTGAATCAATGAATCATGACATTGTACGATCTGGTTGTTCACAAAAGATTGCTTTTCAGAGGTTCATGATATCTATAGTACTTATTATTATTTTGAATTAAAAACATAAATAAAGCTATCGGTGCTTGACTTTCCCCATTTGCAAATTTAAAAGTGGAATTCCAATAACTTATTTGCCTATATTTAAGTTATATGATACTCTGTGGTTCTTAAAGATTTTGCTAAATTATGTATTCCTCAAGGTAACTCTGTAAGATAGAGTCATTATCACTATTTTCATTCACTGGTGAGAAAATTAAAACACATGGGCATTAATTAATTTTTCTTATTCCTATCAATAATATAATTTCTATGCAGCCTTGGAATTTTCAATATCAACAATTGCCTTTAGGAGATGACATGCAATGATTATTTATAAAATAGAAAGCATTGATATTAATATTGGACTTTTACGTATTTTCACCTCTAGAAATAATACCTCCATGCCTGGGTATTACTTAGGTACACCTACATGTTTTAGCCTCTCTTTAAATTGTGCTTTGTTACACACTCACAACTCATTTGTTACTTCTTATTTACTTTTATATACTTGACAACTTCTGAACAGAACTATCTATACATTTTTTTAATTGGATATTCCATTCAAATTTTGTGGTTTATGTCTGAAACAAAATATTTAAACAAGGATCATTTGACTTACTCTTTTCCAACTTGGATATACTTGATTTCTTTCTGTTGCCTAGTTGCTCTCGCTAGGTCCTCCCACACTATGTTAAATAAAAGTGGCAAAAGTGGGCATCCTTGTCTTGTTCTAGATCTTAGGGGAAAGTCTTCAGTTTTTCCCTGTTTAGTACAATACTAGCTGTGGATTTGTCATCTATGACTTTTATTGTGTTGAGGTATATTTCTTCTATACCCAGTTTTTTGAGAGTTTTTAATCATGAAGAACTGTTGAATTTTATTGAATGCTTTTTTAGCATCAATTGAAATGGTCATATGGTTGTGGTCCTTCATTCTGTTGATACCTTGTATCACATTTATTGCTTTGCATATGTTGAACCATGCCTGCATCCACGGGATGAAACTCACTTGATCATGATGAATGATCATTTTAATGTGTTGAATTCATTTTCTAGTGTTGTGTTGAGAATTTTTGCAACTATGTTCATCAGATATATATTTGTTTGTTTTCTGCTCTTAGTCATTGTCTGGTTGTAGTATAAGGGTAATATTGGCCTGGTAGGATGTGTTTGGAAGTATTTCCTCCTCCTCAATTTTTAATAGTATGAGTAGGATGAGCATTAGTTCTTTAAATGTTTGGTAGAATTCAGCAGTGAAGCTATCAGGTCCTGGAATTTTCTTTAAATGAAGACGTTTTATCATTGCTTCTTAGAGGAACAGAGACAGGGAAATATTGGGTAGAAGAGGGCAGTTCTTTGGCAAAGGCCCCACCCTCATGCCTGAAGACCCGTGGCCCTAAATGAGAACAGGCATTTCTGTTTTCACACCCAAAAAGTTGCCTTTTGGCCCACCACACACCCTATCCTTCCCTATATAAACCCTGAATCCCAAGCTCCAGATGAGACCCACAAGTGAGGAGAAGAGGAGGCAAGCAGATCAGCAGACCAGTGAACCAGCAGACCAGCCAATCAATGACAATGGAAAGATGCTGCAGAGAAAGAGAAAATAGAAGGGATGTCTGGGAACTGAGGGGAGTTCACCCATGGGCCGTCAGAAAACAGTCAGCTGCTGGGTGGCCCAACTCCGGGGAAGACCACCTTCCCATTCCTTCACTCCTTCTGGCTCCCCATCCATCTCACTGAGGACCACCTGTACCACTCAATAAAACCCTGCATTCATCCTTTGAGCCTGAACATGATCTGATTCTTTGGGGACATTGGGAAAGAGCTCAGAATACAGAAGGATGTCACACTGGCACACTGCCCTTGCGATAAGGCAGGATCCATTGAACTGATTAAAACACAAGCTGTCTGCAGACAGTAAAGCTAAAGGAGCACACTTTAACACACGCCCTCTTGGGCTTAAGGAGTCGCAGACAGCCACCCCTAGAAGCTGCCAGAGGACTGAGAGCCCAAAGCACTCACCCTTGCCTCTGCATCTGCCCGACTGCATGCTCCCCCTAGGAGTTTGAGCTGTGGGGCAACAAAACAGGTGAGCCAGACCCCTCTTGCATGTCCTGTCCCTCAAGGGGAATCAGGGAAATCTCTCATTTTACTTCTATCTCATTACTTGTTATTGGTGTATTCATGTTTTGGATTTCTTCATGGGTCAATCTTGGTAGGTTGTATATGTCTAGGAATTTATTCTTTTATATCAGATTTTCCAATTTATTTGTATACATTAATAGTTGCTGTAGGCCAGGTGTGGTTACTCATGCTTGTAATCCCTCCACTTCAGGAGGCTGAGGTGGGTGGATCATCTGAGGTCAGGAGTTCAAGACCAGCCTGGCCAACATGGTGAAACCCCACCTCTACTAAAAATACAAAAATTAGCTGGGCATGGTGGCAGGCGCCAGTAATCCCAGCTACTCAAGAAGCTGAGGCAGGAGAATCGCTTGAACCCAGGAGGCGGAGGTCATGGTGAGCCGAGATCGCACCATTACACTCCAGCCTGGGAAACAAGAGTGAAATTTCATTAAAAAATAAAAAAGGACTATTAGAGACTGTAACAGTCTCTAATAATCCTTTGAATTCCCAAGTTATCAGTTATAATGTCTCTTTTTTCATCTCTGGTTTTAATTATTTGGTCCTTATTTCCTTTTTCCTTTAGTCTGGCTCAAAGTTTGTTGATCTTTTAGAAAAAAACTTTTTGTTTTGCAGATCTTTTGTATTAGTCTCAATTTTATTTATTTCTCTTCTGATATTTATTATTTCTTTTCTTCTACTAATTTTGGATTTGTTTTTTTCTTGCATTAATAGTTTTTTAAGATACATAGAATATTTATTTGAAGTTTTTTAAAACTTTTTTTTTACATAGGTGTTTATTGCTATAAACTTCCCTCTTAGTACTGCTTTTGCAGTATGTGATAAGTTTTGGCATGTTGTGTTTCTATTTTCATTTGTTTAAAAAAATTTTTATTTTTGTCCTAATTTCTTCATTAGCCCAATTTTCATTCAAGAGCACATTGTTTAATTTCCATTTGTTTGCAAAATTTCTAAAGTTCTCCTTGTTATTGATTTCTAGTTTTATTCCATTGCGGTGAGAGAAGATATTTGATATGATTTTAATATTTTTGAATTTCTTAAGATATCTTTTGTGGCCTAATATGTGGTCTAGTTTTGAGAATGTTATATGTTTTGAGAATGTTATATGTTTTGAGAATGCTGAGAAGAAGAATGTGTATTCTGCAGCTGTTGGATAAAATATTGTGTAAATTTCTATTAGGTCCATTTGGTCTATAGCACACATTAAGTCCACTGTTTGTTGATTTTCTGTATGGATGATACACCCAATGATTAAAGTGGGGTGTTGAAGACCCTGCTATTATTGTAATATGCTGTATATCTCTTTTTAGCTCTAATAATATTTGTTTGATATATCTAGGTTCTCCAGTATTGAATGCATAGATATTTACAATTGTTATCTCTTCTTGCTGAATTTATCCCTTTTTATTATATAATGACCTTTCAAACAGAACAGAGAACCCAGAAATGAATCCATGCATTTACAGACAGCTTATTTTTGACAAAGGTGTAAAAATTATACATTGGGGAATTGTCAGTCTCTTCAATAAACGTACTGTAAAATTAGATATCCATATGCTGAAGAATGTAACTAGACCCCTATCTCTCATTATATACAAAAATATAATCAAATGGATTTAAGGCCTCCACGTAAGACTTGAAACTGAAACTATTAGAAGAAAACATTGGGGAAATACTGTAGGACATTGGTCTTAAAAACAATTTTTTAATATGAACTTAGAAGCACAGGCAACCAAAGCAAAAACAGACAAATGGGATCACATCAAGCTAAAAAGCTTCTGCACAGCAAAGGAAACAAACAAAGTAGAGAGATACCCACAGAATGGGAGAAAATATTTGCGAACTGCCTGTTTAACAAGGCATTTATAACCAGACTATATAAAGAGCTCAAACAACTCAATAGGAAAAAAAAATCTGATTAAAAATTGGTAAAAAGTCTAAATTGACATTTATCAAAACAACACATGCAAATAGCCAACACGTATATTTATCAAATGCTCAACATTAATGATCAGAAAAATGCAAATCAAAAGTATAATGGGATATTATCTCACCCTAGTTAAAATTACTTTTATCCAAAGACAAGCAATAATTTATGCTGGTGAGGTTGTGCAGAAAATAAAATTCTTTCTCCTCTTACACTGTTGGTGAATGTAAATTAATACAGTCACTATGGTAAACATTATGGGATTTCCTCAAAAAACTATAAATAGATCTACATATGATCCAGCAATTCCACTGTTGAGTATGTATCCAAAAGAAAGGAAGCCAGGCTATCAAAAAGATGTCTGTGATCCCATATTTATTGCAGCACTAGTCACAATAGCTAAGATATAGAATCAAGTTAAGTGTCCATCAGTGAATGAATGAATAAAGAAAAGGTGGTACATATATACAATGCAACATTATTCAGCCATAAAAGTATTGAAATACTGTATGGAGCTGAAAGGTATTGTGTTAAGTGGCGTAAGCTAGGCACAGAAAGACAATTATCACATGTTCTCACTCTTTAGTGGGAGCTAAAAAAAAAATTGAATTCAATGAGAGAGAATGGCATGTTAGTTACCAGAAGCTAGAAAGAGCAGTGAGGAGTAGAGGATAAAGTGAGGATGGTTAACAGGCACAAAAATATAGTTAGCTACAATGAAAAAGATCTACTCCTTGGTAGCACAATATGACAACTATAATTAACAATAATACATTGTGTATTTTAAAATAACCAAAAGATTGAAATTGGACTGTTTCTAATCTTCCTAACACACAGAAAAATGGTAAATGTTTGAGGTGATTGATATCCCAATTACACTTATTTTATCATTATACAATGATGCCTACATCACAATATCACATTTACTCCATAAATATATACAACTATTATGTATCCATAATGATATTTTAAATTTTTAAAAAATAAATCAAGATATTTATCTTTAAAATTTAGGCATTGTCAATGCTAAAAGGGAATGTAAAGAATAGTTAATATTTACATTATGAATGCATATTAAGTTTCATTATAATAACATCAAAATACAAATTTTAATGAAAATTAAAACTTATAATGTACATAATTTTACAAAAGATACATAAAATTTACAAAAAATAATGCAATTTAATAAAATTTTATAAAAGACTACAAATCAATGAAATATTCATTTCACATGAACCCCATAAATATGTGCCACTATTATGTATTCATAAGTAAAAATTTAAAAATTCAAAAATTAGTGATGTTTACAAATAGGGACTTTAAAAGTAATGCAACCCAACAACGTTTCTTAAAATTATAACATCTTTGTAAATTTCAATCACACTATTACACAATATTTGTCAAGTTAAAAGTGATATTTTATTCCCTTAAAGCTTACATAACTGATAAATTTTCTAGATATATTTTGAAAAAAATAACAAATTAACACATTTTTAGGAAATACTTTGGTTAGCAGGGCCTTTAGCTTTAATTATTTGTATTCTACAAATGTAGACTATGGAGAGAAATTTAGGAAGAATGCAACATATTACTAAGCATAGTGACCAGCTTTTAAAATAGATCTCTTGAATTTATTTTTCTTAATGGAAATTTTTTATCCTTTGACCAACATCTGCCCAATCCTCTGTTCCCCAACCACCTCAGTCCTTGGTAACCACCAGCCTACTCTAGTTCTAGGAGATCAACTTTTTAGATTCCACACATGAGTGAGATCATGCACTATTTTTCTTTCTATGCCTTGGTCATTTCACTTAACGTCCTCCAGGTTCACATATATTGTTGCAAATGACAGAATTTCCTTCTTCCTTATAGCTAAATAGTATTCCCTTGGGTGCATATATTGTATTCCTGAAAAATGCTAATAGGGTGCATGTAAAGTGTTCTCACCACAAAAACAATAACTAAGTGAGGTAATGTGCATGTTACTTAGCTAGGTTGAGTCATTCCACAATATTTATATACTGCAAAACATCATGCTGTACACAGTAAATACATACAATTTTACCTGTCACCTCAAAAGTAATTAAATTTATAAAAATCAGGGATAATTTCTTCTCTGAAAATAAGAAGTTAATCATATCTTTCAGAGACTGACAAATTCTTCCTAGAGCTGATTTTAGAAGATTGGGTATAAATATTTAGCTCTTCTTTTTGGAGTGGGTATGCTAAGAGGGTATTCAGATATCAGAAGATCCTTACAGATACAGGTTGCCTTCCATTATTTTTCCTTCTCCCCTCTGTGGTCATATTCTGAGAAGGGGAGTTAAAATTCAGGTGTAATGCTTCTATGGAGACAAATGAGCTACTCATTTTGGCTAACCCTTTGGGAACATATGTGATTAAACTTTATCAGTGGAGGAAAACTGTGTGACTTCAGTAATTTCTCTTTATTATTCTTTTACTCCTCTCCTTAAGGTGGGGAGATTAGAGAGCAGATATATTTCCAGAGTGCCACTGAAGGCTATAACGGGAATTAAACAACCCACAACACTCTTGGAGGAAAAGCTGTTTAAAGCTTCACTGAGGAATCTTGGCCTCTACCCAGTATTTAGTGATGGCAGGACAGAAAAATGGTGGAGTGGGAGGTTGTGGCAGAGTGTAGTGGCAGCAGAGAGTTACTCATTAGGAGGCAAGACATGAAGTCGTGTGATGACCAAGACATCTGGGGGGCAGTGGTTTGTCTTCTGAATCCTGAAAGCACCAGAACTCTTGTGATAAATAACAAGGGGGATTTTAAAGCTTTACTTTCATTAGCTTGACCAAGTCATTGCACTCATTGGTTACTATAATGAATGAGTGAAGGAGTTTAGCATCAGAGATAATAAGTAACAGTGTCATTAAATGAGAAAATTGTTGAATTATTAGTGTTAGGGCTGAACAATCTCTACCATTTTCTCAAAGTGAAAAGTTAATGAACATACAGTGATTATTTACAAGTCCTTGGAGAAGAAATTGAATTGCTTCCATATTATCAGAAAAGTGCTTCTGCAGGACAGTTAGGAGGAGGCAAGAGATAAAAGAGAGTGTCTCCTGGCCAATAAAGGACAAGGATAACAGTGAGTTGCAAAGTTTGGAAGCTATTTTTTTTTAAATACAGTTTGAAGTAGGTCTTGATTTCTTTAGGTCAGGGTGACTAAGATTGGGCAGAGTGAATTCATTACACTCTCACAGGAGGGCTTGTTTTTAACAACTGTTATTTATCAATGAAAAGAATAATAATTAACATATTCATTGTTTACTGAGCATCACGCAATGTTTGCAGCACTTCACTTAAATGAACTCACTTAGTCTTCACAGAAAACATGTGGTAGACTTACCAGTTGCTACCACTATTCCTGAATTAGAGGGAAGGAAACTGCAATAGAAAAAAATTTATGCGACTTGAGTCTGATACTTGAGTCTCTAATCAACTAGCAGAACTAGTTCCAAATCTTGTTCAGTTAATTACTGTTAGAAGGGTTTGGTGGCTTATTTAAACATTGTGTTTTTATATGCAAAACTGTTAACCACACTTAAAAAATAAATTCTAAGATTGTATTCTTAAAGTAATTCAATGTTTTAAATAGGAAATAGCATATTATTATCTATTGGAAATTAATCTATGTGGGTTTGTGGTTGTCCTTGTTGTTGTTGGCAGGGTCTGGCTCCATCACCCAGGCTAGAGTGCAGTGGCACAATCTCAGCTCACTGCAATCTCCATCTACCTAGCTATTTACTAAAATAACTAATCTTGCTACATTTGGAGATGTTTTCTATCAGTGATTCCAGCATGAATAATTTATAAACACACAATGAAATGAAAATTATTCTTCCAAGATAAGAGTAAACATGTGAAATAACTTGTTTCTGTATAAAATTACCAAATCAATCATTGAGCTGATCTAACTAATTTTGCAAATAAATATAGTCTGAGGCTACTTGACTTGCACAAGTTCACTCAGGGTTTTTTTAAGGAAACGGCATACAGAGGATTTCAACCTGTCTTTTGTTGTATATTTGGGTTGTTTTCAGTCATTTTCTATAAGAAATATACAGGAACTAAACTGTTGTACATGTCTAAATGTATTATTGAAAATGCATGTTAGAAATATATTCCTGAAATACTTTTGCTGGTTGAAAATGTGAATGCCTATGTCGTTTTGCAAGATTTTGTCAAATCTCTCTTCGCAGTGCTTCTATTATTTTGCATTTAGACAAGAGATACATGAATTTATTCATTTAACCACAAGTTTCCCGACAGAATATATTATCAAATTATTGCATTTTTGTCAATGTCATAGATAATTAATGGGACCTTAGAATATTTTACTATGCTCAATTCTAATTAAAAGAAGGATTCAACATTATTTTATATATTAGGAATATTTACATATCTCTGTGTTTGTGTGTGTATGTGGGTGTTTGTATGAAACTGCTGTTTATCTTGTGATTATTTATTAGATTGTTGGTCTTGTTCTTATTTATATTGTAGAAACTCTTTATATAGAATTGTTCAATATGTGTTATACAATTTTTCAGTATTTTCCAGGACTTGTCTCACTTTTTTTGTTGTACTTCACAAGTACTTGTCAATCTTTTCAATCATAGGACAACTTTTGACTCATAGGATAATTTTTCAACAAATTAAAAATTAGGTTTTTCCCCATATTTTAAGATGCACTTTTCTTATATGCAACTTTTCCACATATTTCAAAATAGATCTTATCAGCTCTATTTCCTAGATATTTTATAAAGGCTGTTATGATGGATGATATATGCTCTAGGTGCAAGCTGATAGCAAAGTTGCAATACAAACTTCTGTTTCTCTAACTACAATATTTATGTACTTTATAAAATTACAAAAGAAATTCATAGTTCTTATGAACCTGACAATTGTCTAGCTATTTTACATGTATTAATTAATTTAATACTGTCTAGACCCTGTGAAGTAGGTACTGTTATCCTACTCACTTTGCAGATTCGAAAACTGAGACTTTTAGAGCCACAGATTGAGTGCAGATAGCCAGAGTCATTTTTCTAAACCACTACAACTCACCATATTTCACACTGTTCAGACTGCAACCATTCTACAAGCTTAGATTTCTTCAGGTCTTAAAATACTTATCATTTAAATCTGAATATGACATGTAAAATATTAAATATTGTACCCACCCACTTAATTCAAAAAATATCAAGCAATATTGCACTGATTTTATTAAACTTATTAAATATAAATTTCATGCTATTTTAGTATTTCATGTTTTCTACAAATGGTATTATTTAACTGTAGCATGATATTATCAGCAATAGCAAAAATAGCCTATTTATGAATGTCTTCTATTTGTATAATCACTAAAATCATATCTGTCATATTGAGAAGCCATGAAGAAAAGTAGTTAAAACTGCTAGCTTGAAATCAGCTTGAATACAATATGTACTCAACTGCTTAATTATTGTTGTAGTCACAGGCATATTTATTGCTTTAAATTTTAGTTTCCTTCTCACTTGAATGGGGAAGAAAATAGTCTTTTTATTTTTTCTCTGAAATTAAATAAAATATCAGAAATGCTTTACACAAAAATGCTATGCACATTTTAGCTAGTATTATTTCAAAAAGAGCTAGCCATTTTCTATACAAAGAGCAAAACAATACAAATTAACTACATGTTAAAAACAAATATAAAATAACCAATGGATTTGCATTCACTATCTCTAATGAACTAAAATGAAAGTCAAAATAAATTTTACATGTGATTAGGCATGAGAAATAAAGCATGCTGCTCTGATAATCGGGTTTGGAGACAACATAGAACTATGGTATCTTTTTGGCATCAGTGAAATTGACACTGAGCAAAACTAAGAAACTAATGGGAGAAACACAGTGAGTGATGAGAGAGTGAATGAGAAGAGATTGTCTTCTCATTATCCTCACCTGCCAGAGTTGGCTTGCAGTCGTGAAGGAGGCAGACACATGTGGAGGAAAAAAATGTTATCTCCTAAAAAAAAATCCAATTAGGTAACAATGGAAAATAAAATGAGAGAAAAATAGGAAAATATGTATGGAATTTATTCTAACTCTTTAGTAGTCACAATGAAAAATAAAAGCATATTGTATAAGTTACCCAATTCTTACTTTTTAGTCATCTTTGAACTTCTTGGAATAACTTCATAAAAATAAGAAAAACAAGTCTGTTGACTTTCCACAATTAAAATAAGCTACTTGTATATTATAGTATTTTGGGGATCTCTTAGGAATTTTATTCTGATATTAATTTCTTTCCCATTAACTTGTTCACACTGAAATTCTAATGTCTTTCACTCTTTTGGGTTGAGAAGCTCAATTTGAGAGTATGAATATTAGCTTGGAGACATATTATATTACATCAAACTTTTTGATGGTTAATAATTATGGTTGCACAATTAATCTGTTGTCTGTTTTATATTCTCAACCTTCATCTGAATCACATGAGTCTACACTTTTGGCTTTCAGAAAAACAAACAAGCACATATGACATTCAATATTTACAACCTACATAGCATCTTAAGAATTATCCCTATAGCAACACATTAACATTTCTGCAGCTATAAATGATCACACTAAGTGAGACATATAAAGAACATAAGTAGTCTTAAATTGGTTTTCTTCAGGTTTTCTGCTAAGTAACTGTATTATGGTTTTCAGAAATTTTTGGATTCTGTAAGTATGAATAAGTTAATGCCTTTAAGCTACTTAGCTACATTAGGTAGCTAGTTATACAGATGTTGAAGTAAAAGGCATTAGTGAACATGAAAGTGAATACAACGCACTCCAAGCTATTTGGAGAACAAGCCCAGAAAGTGGTTTCAGAAACATCAGAACCTATCGCCATCATCATGAACATTTTCTTCGTTTTTCCTTTGCAAAGTTGTTATAAAGAAAATTTTTGGTAAATCTAAGTATACAAAATGGATCTTATTACATAAAAAATAAATAGTCCAAAGTTGCAACTCAAACATAGAAGTACTCATAATTATGACATGATTACATGGACTATCACAAATGTGACTAGATTAGAGAATTTTAAAAGTCTTAAAAATCCTAATTATAATCTCATCTAATATTATGACAAAATTTCCTTATGGAATATCTCATTTCAGTTTAAATGGCCCAATAAAGTATATCAGAAGTGTTTATTTTTGTGGAAAAATTAATTAATCTTAGTTTAAAACATGTAAGAACCTTATGCATATTTCAGATTTCAAACCACTACTTTCTGCTATCCAGTTTTATAGAGTAACCCTAGACAAGTTGCAACACATTTAATTAACTTTATGTTGCTTCACTAAAATAGGGATGTGGTCTGTTCCTTTATATCCTACTTGTAATGAAAGCATGTGAATTTATAACAGAATGTTTATTTTATAAAATAAACACATATGAATATGTATTACTTAGCAATGGCTTTTGATCTGCTTCATGGCTGATAGGGCAAGAACATTATGTAATAATATATTCTGTTTTCTACTCTTATTTGATTAATGTGGCATATGAATATAGTTATTTTATTAAAAGTTATAATTTAATGACCTTCATTTGATTATTTTTGAAATGTGATGTGCATAAATAATATGAATTCTTTCATACACACTAGTGCTAGTAAATTTGTGGAACTGCTTTAAAGAAGAATGACACTTATACAAATTCAAATAATTTGACTTTGAATTTTGAATAATTTATTTAAACTGGAATTGTCAAATAAGTGTGCAGAGACATATGCTTGACGATGTTCATTGATGCATTATATACAATGGCAAATATGTACATATAAGGTGAACTTTTATCATAAAGAGTATGACTAAATAAATATTCTTAAGGCAATATTATTTGTAGCTAGTAACTAACATAGTGTGAATCTGTAAATACTGATAAGGTAAGGATGCCTATAAAATATTGTTCACTAAGCCTGCTCATCAGTATTTCTAGTGTAACTAGTTTTTTTATATGTAGATAAATTACATATTCAAATATTAATTTCTATATATTTATGAATATCTGTATAATATATATGTTTATATTTATGTAAGCACTTGTGTCTGATTACATAAATATATTATGTTTGGCAAAGAGTTATTTTAAGGAAGATTTTGAAACACCATAGAACAAAATTGGACCTGTAAGTCTATTTTTAGAAAAAAATTTTACATCATATAAAGACAGTATCAAATATTAAAATGCCTAAAAGTGTACACACCTATAATGTTTTACGGAGTCTCAGAAGGAAAAATGAATTTAACTTTAAAAATTAACATATACTATTGACTGTCTATATTAATATCCATATAAGGGTGCAAGACATAAGTATATAGAAAGAAAGAACAATCCAATTAACAAAGAAAACTGAAAACTTGCAAGAAGTTATGGTAATGATTATCACATCTGTTTAGGAAATTCCAGGTGCTCGTTGGATGGTAAAACTGTTGATGAACATCAAATTTTACCATTTCTTCGTTGGAATTTAATGCGTTGTAGAAGTTTCTGTAATAAGAACTATAAAAATTCCTGAGGAATATTTAGGGAGAGTCATGGGGTTAACTGGAAAGAAAACATTAGCATCTGGTTCTACATCTTTCTGCCTCAGAAATGCTTGAGGATTTGACACTTAGAATCCTTCTTTGAACAATAGCCTCAAGGAGTCAACAGAAGTTTATTTATACTGGATCCAAGAGGAATGAAAATGTGGCTTAGGATTATCACCCTTACAGAGCATCTGTACTTCATTTTTTAAATTAACCAGAATATAATTAGTAACTGATAAATGAGATGTTTTTGTGCTGGAAAACGGCATTTTCTTTTTCTTTTCTTTCTTTTTTCTTCATATATTTGAGAAGTTGTACGGCTTACTAAAGTATAACAGTTTATGCTGTCATAGTCTTCTCTAAAATGAGATTTTCCATGCACACTCGGCCTCTTCTTTTGTGTCCCCACATATCTTAAGTGTATATTAGGTATATCGGAGGCTGTGCCCTGAAATTGTAAGCCAGTGCCTTGTTACTTGCCTTCTTCAATTGTGTAAACCAAGTACGCTTCTGCTACACAATGCCTTTAACGTCCTATGAATGTGAATATTAAAACAATCCAAATATGGCTAGCTTAGTCAAATGCACTGTGTCCAACCAAAGTTAACTTATAAGATTAAAATAAAGAGATGAAATAAATTATAAATTGAAAGATAGCAACCCACAGGCTATTTTTTGAGTGATGCTCTGGGCAGGAGAGGGATGTTGGAATAATAAAAATATTTTCAAGCATATTTAATGTTTTAAATTGAATGTGAATGGAATAACTAGAGTACATCACATTCATATTTCTCATAATGATCTTCATTAAACTTTCTGGAATTCATCAATAATGTATCCACTTTTATCCACCAGCTTTACTGTTGGCATTACTGTTTTGGTAGAACTGTGAAATGGAAGAAAAATTGAACCTCCTTTTCTGAATCCTAATGTAGCTGATTTTTGCCTATGATAATTTAAGTAACTTGATGCTTTTATTAGTCCTTTTCTTTCTTTTTTTTTATTTGAGACGGAGTTTCGCTCTTTTGCCAAGACTGGAGTGCAATGGCGCAATCTCAGCTCACTGCAACCTCTGCCTTCCAGTTTCAAGCGATTCTCCTGCCTCAGCCTCCGAGTAGCTGGGATTACAGGTGCCTGCCACCACGCCCAGCTAATTTTTATGTTTTTAGTAGAGACGGGGTTTCACCATGCTGGCCAAGCTGGTCTCAAATCCTGAGCTCGTGATCCGCCTGCCTTGGCCTCCCAAAGTGCTGAGATTACAGGCGTGAGCCACCGTGCCCAGCCTTATTAGCCTTTTTTAATATTGCGCAGGAGAACTAAACACATTCCGATTAAATCAGTAGTGAGTATAAAAGGTAAAAAAAAAAATCCAGCTTTTTAGAAGAAATAAAAAATAAATCAGCTATTACCCAGTCATACTAATAAAACTACTATAGTACCGTTTATTATATTGATGAAGAATTGAGTTGGGCAGATATGAGTTAATGATATGCCACGCCTCATTTCATAGACAATAAATAACCCTAATGTGGTGGATATAGGTCATTGAATGTTTATGCTAACTTGTGATATATATAGCTTAAAAACACTAATTCATATAGTATTGGATCTAGAGATAATGTATTTACTTATCAATTTTCACTTAAGACTAATTTTAAATATCAGCCCATATAGACTAATGTTCATTTAGAATGATCCAACTACCTAATTTCTGCCAATTTGGTGGATATAAAATGGTATTTCACAGATATTTTGCTGGTTATAAAGAGTTTGATGTCTTTGTATTCTTAGGCATTTATACTTATGTTTAGTGTACTGTCTACACTTAATCTTCATTTTCTTACTTGTTTCCATTTTAAATGTTTTGTTATGCAAAGAGTTCCCTGTCAGTTTTAGGAATTGCAAATATGTTCTTTCATATTGCCATCTATCTGCTAATTTTACTTAAGATTTCCTTTGTTGAAAATAAATCTGCAATTTTTTATGTAATCAAACGTCTCAGTATCAACATATAAAGTGTGCTTTGAAGTATTGTTAAATTACTTCAACCATTGTTGAAAGCAGCATGGCGGTTCCTCATAGATCTAAATGCAGAATTACCATTCGACCTAACATTCCATTACCGGATATACATCCAGCGGCATATAAATCATTCTAACATAAAGACACACCACATGAATGTTCATTGCAGATACTATCCACAATAGCAAAGATGTAGAATACACCTAAACGCCCATCGGTGAAACATTGGATAAAGAAAATGTGGTACATATACACCAGGGAGTTCTATGCAGCCTTTGAAAAAGAGATCATGTCTTTTGTGGGAATATGGACAGAGCTGGGGGCTATTATCCTTAGCAAACTAATACAGAAATCTAAATGCTGCATGTTCTCACCTACAAGTGGGAGCTAAATGATGAGAACTAAGAACACAAAGAAGGCAACAATAGACACTGGGCTCTACTAGAGGGTGGAAAGTGAGAGGAGGGAGAAGAGCTGAAGGGAAAACTATCGGGTAGTTAATACCTGGGCAATGAAATAATCTGTACGACACACCTCTGTGACCCAAGTTTGCATAGGTAACAAACTTTCACATGTACCCCCAACTCTAAAATAAAAGTTCAAAAATAAATAAATAAATAAATAAATAAACAAATAAATAAAATATTCTGCACACCTCATGGCCACAAAGACATCTGTGCACATTTTCATCCATCAGGTTTGTTTTGCCTTTCACATTTGCTTCTTAAATATAGATTTCAGATTTCTAAATAACATAAGAAATTCAACTTAGTGTTCTTTCAAAGATTAATCACTCCTCTTTAATTCTTTTTACTGAGAAATTCTTGCCTCTTCTATTTACATTACTAACTGTTAATTAATAAATATTCTATCTATAAATAAATCTGTGCCTGAGCACATTTATCACTTGAATTTTTTGTTGTTGTTCCTGCATCAGTACCATACTTTTAAATACTTACCTTTACAGTATGGTTTCACATGTGCTTGGCTACAGCTTCCTTTTCAGGCTGATTTGTTTCTATGATAATACATACATATTCTTTATTATACATTTTAGAATCTATTTTTTAAAATATCTCCAATATTTCTTTGTTTTTTTTTTTTTTTTTTGAGACAGAGTCTCACTCTGTCACCCAGGCTGGAGTGCAGTGGCGTGAACTTGGTTCACTGCAACCTCTGCATCCCAGGTTCAAGCGATTCTCCTGCCTCAGCCTCCCAAGTAGCTGGGACTACAGACACCCACCACCACGGCCAGTTAATTTTTGTATTTTTAGTAGAGGCAGGGTTTCATCATATTGGCCAGGCTGATCTCAAACTGCTGACCTTGTGATCCACCCGCCTCGGCCTCCCAAAGTACTGGGATTACAGGCATAAGCCACAGTGCTCGGCCTATTTCTTTGATTTTTATTGAAATGCTTATCCTTGGTTTGTTTGGGTTAGAGACATCATATACCTTTTTATGTTATTATTCGTATTTGGACATAATTTTTATTTTCTGAAGGAAGTATATTAAAATATCCAATTATAACAGTTTATCTATCCCCATAATTTTGTCAGGTGCAAATCCATTCCAGCATGCTTATACTGATTTTTTTTATTTCTAATGTGCTATTCTTTTTCCAATAGATAATTTCTCAGCCGGGCGCAATGACTCACTCCTGTGATACCAGCAGTTTGGAGGCCGAGGCAGGTGGCTCACCTGAGGCCAGGAGTTTGAGACCAGTCTAACCAACGTGGAGAAACCTCATCTCTACTAGAAAATACAAAATTAGCCAGGCATGGTGGTGCATGCCTGTAATCCCAGCTACTCGGGAGGCTGAGGTGGGAGAATCGCTTGAACCTGGGAGGCAGAGGTTGTGGTTAGCCGAGATTGCACCATTGCACTCCAGCCTGGGCAACAGAGTGAGACTCCATCTCAAAAAAAAATAAATAAATAAAATAAAAAGATAATTTCCCATTTGTCCTTTATAGTATCTATTGAAATACATTTTCTTTGAAAACAAAGTAGCTTGCATTGATTTTTATTTTACATTTTTCTAGATTATAATAAAATTTCTTGTTCATATAACGATATGTGAGAATAAAACATATCTAAGTCTAATTAAAATTTAGAAATGTTTGTTTGATTTAATGACATATTGGACTAATAGAATGGTAGACAAAAAGCAAAGTTTATTTATTTCAAGATTGGAAGAAATCAGAATAGTATAAGTATATGCATGTTTTCATCACCCATCGTAACAATGAACAAATCATCACAAGTTCTGCCCACTACGTTTATAGTGACATTTCCTTCTCCCTTGTTATTTTGAAGCAACTGTTCCTCTCTGTCATTATAGTGCAAAAGCAGCCTTAGATAATTAATGAAGAGTGTGGCTGTAAGCTTTATGTCTAAAAACAAATGATATGAAGAATTTGACTTGTGGCCATCATTTGGCCACAATTTGGTAACTACTGGTTGAGCAAATATAAAATTTGGGCCTTTACATTACTCTCATTTAACACCCTGAACATGTTACTCCAAGGTCGAGCTTTCATGTTGCACCTGAGGTAGGAGATAAGTAATATTCCTTTTAGGTGATCTCTTTTTCTAAGACATGTTTGCACATTTTCCTGTAAACTTTAAAGCTTTTAAATTGCATTTTTGGGTGCTTACTGCCTTTTTATCATTCATAACTATTTTTGAACCCTGTAAACTTTTTCAAGGTGCCATCTCTATCAATCTTAAATCTTAGGAAATCAACACCATTATTTATTCAAATTTATTTATTCTTTTGATTTTTCTCCTCCACCTGAAAGTGCATGTTCATGAATGTTGACAGGTCCACATATCACAGTCATTCCTGTGAACTGTGTTAAGCATTTTTAAACGTTTTCTGATCATGCTTTTCTTTTGGGAGGGATTTTGACTGTCTTTCAGTTCACTGTTAAACACATGATTGCAAAACAAACTCTATCAAGAAGATAAATAGATCCAGAAAGACATCATGGTGTACAAAGAAACTACCTGTCCTTTAGCTATAGCCACCCAACTTTATCAACTGAACACCAAGTTCTTTGTTTTTCAACCATTATATGTTTAAAACCCAGTATTTCAAATGGATCCCTCTTTTAATTATTTAGTATGGCTTACTATTCTTGTACACTTATGATTTTGAGAATATTTACAAAACTTAGTTAACATTCCTTATCCCTTTTGTCAAAAAATTCTGCTGTAATTTACATAGGTTACCACACTTGCCATTATTTACTTCTCTTTTTTGTTGTTATTTTATATATATTGTTGTTGTACATGTATTTATTCTGTGAGTGCATTATTTTTCTGGATAATATTTTTCTCCACACTCATAAAACTTGCCTGATAATATGAAGGGGCTGAGCAGGAAGTCTCAGGTTATGGCTCTCCTCATTATTACTATTTTTTCATTTCTTGAGTTTCATATCAAAGAATAAAGAACTCATTGCCTCAATGGAGGGTTTTGGTCATTATTGTCTGTAGGATCATTCTGTATGTCATTTCCCAATCTCAAAGAGGTAACAATTAATTCTGTTCTTTTGGACAACCTATACACTACACTGTGCTACTTGAGGGGTTGTCCTCTGTTTTCATTTCCTCACTTTTGAGGAAGGGATGATGTATTTTCAGAAATTTCGTATTTGCTGGATTGTGTAGTCATCTGTAATTCCACACAGCTAAGTTCCCACTGCGCTAAAGTTTCTCTGTGACCCCCTAAAGTGTACTGGGCTGACTAACATGTTTTAATTCTTCACAGTTACAAATATATTAACCAAATTAGTGCAGTGGTGGCTTTGTTAAACCATTTCCCCCTATTTTTATCTTGTCAGAAATAAGGGAGAAGCTGGTGATAAGTCAATCTTAAGTATTGAAATTTGAAACTATATATTTAAGGTAATTTTTTATGGTTTTAATCACATATTTATTTCACTTACTGGGTTATTAAAAATATAATATCAGAAAACATTATTAAAACTCAAATTTTACTATAGCACTTGCAAATTAGAAGGAAGAGAAAATCACTTTTATTTAATCTTTTTCTGTTAAAGTATTTAATCTTCAATTCTTTTCCTTGTAAATTAAATATCAGAATCATTTTTGTGTATAGATTGCTATACTATATGCTATAGCATTTTTTACATTCAAGACTATTTCTTGAAAGCATATTGTTTTGAAGTAGAAAACCACATCAGACTATGAATATTTTAGAATCTTATGCCATAGCATCCTTCCTTTAGAGATGGCTATAGATATTCCATCACAACTTCCTCAAATTTAATTTAAAAAATACTAATTTAGTTTCTGAAGTGACATTTTATTGTTGATATTAACCTTAAGTACTAGCAATGTTAAAGTTTCCCACATTGTCATATATTTCTATAAATGTTTTGTGAATTGTCTCTTCAAACATTGTGTTCATTTGTATGGATATCTCAATTTCCTCACACAAAATTAAATATAATACAATGAACATATTTAATTTATCCAGTTCTTCCAAAATATTTCAAAATGTATTTTTATATATTTTTGACATTTTTAAATTGGCAAGTTTATCTTTTAGTAGTTATAAATCTCTGTTCTTTGTTTGCACATATTGTATTTTATCATGAAAATGATAAATATTATTCCCATTCATTTTTATAAATATTCTTATTAATATTCCCATGGTATCTATGTTTTGATTTCCAAATATGTTTTTTTCAAATGAGAAAAATGTTTTGTTCTACATTTTGCAGGTCTAAATTTAGTTATTTTATTCACAAAACTACCGTGTAAAAATTGGTTTATTTTTATGTTGAGCTATGATTCATCCATTTTTTGTGTAACAACTCCTTAGAGAAAATAGTTTCTATTTCTGGACCATTTCCTTAATAATCTGTTTTTCTCTTCAGTAACAAAACACTTACAAGCGCTGCAGCTATTTCCAGTGATTTAATATCTCATTATGTTTCCTTTGTAAATTCTTCTCTGAGAATTTTATCTTGTTCATCTTACATGTACACTGAATAAATGGGAAAAGAGACATGGACATCATTCACTAACAAGAAAATAATGTTTATGTTATTTATTATATTTCCTTATAAAAAAAGCACCTGCAAAATTCTTGTTTACATTTGTATAATGCTTTGCATTGTTTTTCAGTAAACAATTTCTTATGCATCTTGAATCAAAACAATAAAATTTCAACATTACCAGCTTGTCATCAATTCTATCTTTCCATTTCTATATTATACATGTTTTCATTTTCTATATACCCTGGAAAAAACTTATAAAATTTACTCTTTTTGATACAACCATTTTTTTTTGATGTTGTGCCCTGCTTCCTGACACTATCATTAAATTTCTTATTGATACTATTATTAAATTTCAATGGGTTATACCTTTGAAGTGTTAAAATAACTTCTGCAAGCCTGAAATTATTTAAAATGTCAGGTAATAACTGCAATTTTTCTTGATGGTGCTCAGTCAAAAGTAGTAAATAAAACCTTTATAAATTAATGTGTGGCATTCAAATAAAAGTCAAGAAATATATTTCCGCCTTCGGATAATATTAAAGACTATTACAATTAATATATAATTTTTATATCTAAAATAAAATTTACATTCAATATATGAACGTATTTTGGGATGTTTTATAAACATATTCATAATTTTTACTTTACTCAAGTAGAACTATGTTAACAGTTCAAATTGTACATGTATAATGGCAGTATAATACACAATATTAATTTAATTAGAGTTTTTCAGACTAACAGATTCAAGTTTTTATTCTAAGACATCTTGTATGTTTTCGAACAATTTTAATGTTTAATTATATATCACTAAACTATGATCATTAAATATAGGGTTAGTTGGTTAGATTCTCCTATATCATCCTTTGCAAATTATCTCAGGGAGAAATTTCATGAAAATTTACTGTTTAGATAAGATAAAAACTCAATTTACTATTCTTAAAGAAAACTAAATAAAAAATTACCACTTTCTTTAAGCACATTGAGGGCAAATCTACCTGAAACAGAGATATTAAATATATATATTTACAAAGTATAAGCAGAGTACCCAGTATTTGGCCACGATGCTGTAACATTTTATTAGGACACACACACACACACACACACACACACACACACACACACACCATAATTTTTACGAGGTCTGAAAAAGAAAATACCAAGAGGCCAGAGAAGTGACTGATATACTTTTCTTTCCCCCAGTATCACTCAAAATCATGTAATTTTCTCCAAAAGCCAAGTGAAGAATATGGCAATATGGCTCTTTTGTCACTGCCAAACTGGGCTCCTAGATACTCATGACTCTTTGAAGACACAAAAAAAGTATATTCCCTTTGACAGCAGGATGCTACTACCTTCTTACTGGCCTTACTTGAAACAGCAAGATTCCATTTCATTTTGTTTATCACAAATTGATTCATGCTAATCTATCCAGTTATAAGGAGAAGTGGATAAATCAGCAATCCATTACAAATGAAAGAGGTTGTCTGGGATCTTGCGAGGTAAGAGAGCACAACATACTTATTTTTTCTACTGATCAACCTTATTTTTTAAACGTAATTTTTGTTATACTTAATATGTTTGGAAAGCATATATTACTGGAACTACAAAATATTATATATAGTTAATTTCTGACAAATAACTATATTTATGTATATTTTGTTCTATATAAAAATGTTGGCAGATGGAGAACCTTTAATTTTAAAGTAGGAGTTATCAGTTAAATCAATTATATCTCACATTAGAAATAGGGAAAAAAGATGGCAAATAAAGGAAGAAAGTTTATAAATAAGTTAAATGTGATATAGTAATAGGCAAATAAATAATACACAAAGTTACTATTTACACATAGCATTCACCCCTAGTCAGGTTCAAACCCACAAGCTTCCTTTTCTTCCACCACAGTGAATGACTGTATATCCTGCTGACTGCATGCTCTCATTATTTCAACTTCTACACCAGGAATTTTCTAAAAGTATATTTCCAAAATGTAAAACAATCATCAAGACAGTTTTTGTCAAATTAATATTTTCTCATATGTAAGATGGATAGAGGCAAATACCCATTGGATTCATTTCCTGTCAAGATTCTACCCATTCTTATGTCTTGAGGCAACTGATAATTTTTTTATATATCCTTTACTAAGAATCTCAAATAGAAATGCTGTTTATGTATTTTTTACAACTCTTAACAAAAGTCTTCGTACCATAACATGTTCCTGTTGTTAAAGTCATTTATATCTACATTTTCTCCACAATGTTATAAATCCAACATGGATTAAAGCCATAATTTTACTTACCCTTTAGCCTTCAATTTCTCATGTTTTAATTATTGTTAAGTACACAAACATGTTTTGAGCAAACAAATTGTATATGAGTTTGGAATAAGGAGGAAAATGGGTAATGGTATGCTGGGAAGAAAAAGAAGAGTTAGAGAGCGTGCAAAACTATGGTACTTTTTTCAGTGTAACCTATGGCAAGTTTAAGAATGTGAGAAAATATACTAAACTTTGGAATCTCAATGTTTCCTGTTAAACAAAACACAGAAAATAAATTTCAATTACATTTTATTTTAAATTTTCTAAATTGGGATTGTCACAAACAGACCTAAACCATGTTTTTACCAGCAAATGGTGTTGGGAAAATACTCTTGAACCTTTTATTGGACTAAACTAAGTGAGCTAAAAAGAATATGCTTTTAGGATATTTTCAATCTGAAATATCCTTGTCACTTAGCAAGTCTCATGTCTCTAAGAGACTAAAAGAATTAATAATAGTAAATTATTTTATACAAACATTTATAATACATTAGTTTATATGAACATTTAAGTCAATAACATAGAGTTCATATATATTCATATATATATATTAGCATTTAAGTCAAATAAGCCAGGAAAAATGGGAGAAATGGTTGAAAATTATTTAAGAATGTAATAACATTAAGTATCTTGTAGAGCTCATGTGATTAAAGTAGAATTTTTTGTTTAAGTAATTTTTCCCACTATTACATTTGCAAAATGAATATCTCCTAATTTTGTTTATATAAAAACTATTACTAAAAATGCTTGTTCCACCTAAGTAACAGATATTTGTTTCTGCTACATTGACCTTCACTAAAACAAACAAACAAACAAACAAAAAAAACACTTATGTTGGTTCCTTTGTATAAATGTGCTTCAAGGACAACTGATTTTCTTTACACACCTCATAAACGTCAAAACTTCATTTGCTGAGAGCTGATGTTTTTATACGGTGTCAGGTCTCTTCTCCCCATGGGGTAACTGATGCCTTTACTGTAACCACATGAGTCACCATTTATAATTACTGTTGCCTAAGACACTTTGTCCACTGCTGTTTCTCCACATTCCATTGCTGTGTCATGTGGTGGGAAGCTGTGCCTCACTGAGCACTTGCTGCGTTTCTCCTGCCTGCTGCGTGCTGGTGGTTTTCCCTCCTCACCTCACCATATCGCAGCTGTCATCCTGCTGTCATCTGTCTTCTGTGGGTTTCTTCCCCAGCAGCTCTGTTACAATGTGCATCGCCTCATTGCTCAGAAATCGGCTGTGATCCAAGAACTTAAATGTGGCAATCTTTATAAATAAAAGCTTTTGCCAATGCTCTTATTCATTATAAGTATATTGAAATTGTATATGCAGGGCAGAGATGAGTTTCATACCTGCCCACCTAAATGACTGCAAAACCACTAAATAAATTTACTAAGAATTTCAATATTAATTTAAACTGGGTAGCAAAATGAATAAGGGGTCTCTATTAGTCTGAAATATCCAGAGAAACAGACCAATAGGATACATGCATGTGGGTATGTGTGGGTGTGTGTCTGTGTATGTGTAAAATAAGGAAATGGCTCACATGATACGGAGGATGGCGAGTCAAAATCTGTAGCGTGGGTCAGCAGGCTTAAGAGATAAGGAGTGCAATGTGCAGTTCCAGCCTGAAGACCAGTAAGCAGAGACCAGCGAGAGCAAATAGCGTGAGGAAGCCTGCAGGTAGCCGACTGGAGAATTCTTTATTGCTCCGGGAGGCTGACATTTTGTTCTAGTGAGGCCTTCAACTGATGAGGGCCACCAACATTTTGGAGAGTAATCTGTTTTACCCAAAATTTACCTCTGTAAATGTTAATCTTATCCAAGAGCACCTTCAATGTTTATATAAAATTAACCCTCACAGTATGTGTTGAAGTATATTCATTTCATTTTAAATAAATTCTCTTATTTTAAATGAATCATTTTTATTATTTATTTAATCTGTTTAACTGTGTCCAGCTTGGCTATCTATACTGTTTTCATATTCAAAATTACTGTAATTAGCTGATCTGATGTTTCAATTTAAGCAATATCATACTGTAAACATTTATATATGACATGTTGTGAGCTTAGCAAACACAGTAAAGAGATTTCTTGAAATAATTTTTTTAACTGAAGGAAAAAGAAATCAGTGAGTTGCATTATGATTAATACATATTTAAACAAAATTTAGGGACTTAAGTATTAAATAGAGTTGTGATAGAAGGAAAAATATATTTGTATTATTAGGCTTCCACCAATTTCGGATTATATGGAAACACATGCAATATTAAGAGTGTAATACCCCAAAATCAAAAAGAATTGCAAAATGACATGGGGCTCAGTTGCAATTGAATGTGTGACTTCTATTTTGATTTGTAGTAAGGACTATATTTCAAAGACAAATAGATTACCAAAAAAATTCCAAGGATTAAAAAGAATAAGAAAAACTGAAAATGGATGGGAATAAATAGCAAGTGTCTTTACATATTCAAAAATATATTCTGAGCAGTTACAATGTGAAATATAGTTTTGGAGATTTAAAAGAAAACACTGCCATTCACATTCATAATGAAAACTCAGAAACCTAAACACATGTTTCAGATATTATAAAATAAATGGAATTAAGCTAGGTGTACATCAATGGTGGATTGGATGAAGAAAATGTGGTACATATACACCATGGATTACTATGCAACCATAATAAAGAACAAAATCATGTTATTTGTAGCAACATGGACGCAGCCAGAGGCCATTATCCTAAGTGAATTAACACAGATACGGCAAACCAAGCACGGCATGTTCTCACTTATAAGTGGGAGTTAAACATTGGTTACTCATTGATATGATTTTGTTCCTCATTGATATGGTTTTGTTCTGTGTCTCCACTCAAATCGCATCTTGAATTGTACTTCTGTAATTCCCATGTGTTATGGGAGGGACCCAGTGGGAGATCATTGAATCATGGGGGCACATTCTGCCATACTATTCTCGTGGTAGTGAATAAGTCTCACGAGATCTAACGGTTTGATAAGAGGAAACCCGTTTCACTTGGTTCTCATTCTCTCTCTTGCCTACTGTGTTGTAAGATGTGCCTTTCGCCTTCTGCCGTGATTGTGAGGCCTCTCCAGCCACGTGGAAGTGTAAGTCCAATTAAAATCTTTCCTGTATAATTTATCCAGTCTTGGGTATGTCTTTATCAGCAGCGTAAGAATGGACTAATACACCGAGGGACATACAAATGAGAAAAAAAGTCACTGGGGACTCCTAGAGTGGGGAGGAAGAGAGGGGTTCTTGGACTGAAAAGCTATCTATTGGGTAGTATGCTCACTACCTGGGTGATGGGATCATTTGTACTCCAAACGTCAGCAGTATAATATGCCCATGTAACAAACTTGCACATATACTCTCTGAATCCAAAATAAGTGTTGAAAAATATAATGATAAAAATAAAAATAAAAGGGTAGCCTTTTAAAAAACAAAAACAGCAACCAAAAAAAAAAAAAAACCCAAATACTTTGGGGACATAAAGGTAAGACCATTTAAGTTGTGTTTTAAACATTGTACATAATTTTAATAGAGTAGTATACTGTGACTTTAGTGATGGAAGTTCCATGTGAAGTATGTATTGCTTTTAACACACATTTGCAATCCAGTAGATGGTCTATGTAAATAATAAATGCATTTAATTAGAGATTACATGTGGCCACAAACATCATCACCATCATCACCTTATGTTGGAATTCAGGCAGCAAATTTTAAGAGAAGAAATTAGTGAAGCTAATAAAAGCATTGCTATCATCTACAAAGATATTCCAGGGGATACATCAAAAGCGGTTTGAAATATAGAGTTTGAATATATAGTCGTAAAAGGTAATGTCAGTGTTCTTACTTCTAAAATTTCTTTATTTGTTACATGTTATTTATTATTTATGCATTTTATTTTTAAATACTAATTCAAAATCTTTTAATTGTGTACTTATTTTAAACATATCATTTGGCACTCGGATCCATGTTGTATCTTTAGGGTTAAAACATATTATTTTCTTAAAAATCTGTCAAGTAATGATTACAACTTCATGACTTACTTATACATAATATATTCAGGGACTGTATTATCTTTAATATTTGTTTTTTAGAAAGTTTATTTAAGATTACATGGCTGGGCGCTGTGGCTCATGCCTGTAACCTCAGCACTTTGGAAGGCCGAGGCGGGTGGACCACCTGAGGTCGGGAGTTGGAGACCAGCCTGACCAACATGGAGAAACCCCGTCTCTACTAAAAATACCATATTAGCCGGCCATCGTGGATCATGCCTGTAATCCCAACTACTCGGGAGGCTGAGGCAGGGGAATCGCTTGAACCTGGGGGGCAGAGAATACGGTGAGCTGAGATCGCGCCACTGCACTCCAGCCTGGGCAACAAGAGCAAAACTCCGTCTCAAAAAAAAAAAAAAAAATTACACTTAGTTTTCACTGATCTGTGAAAAAGAATATGTAGCTGTTATCATAATAAATATCTTATATAACAATTTTAAATATTGCTGTAATGAAAATACTTCTTAATATATGAAATTTTGCTGAATATGTATGCTATATTTTGACAAATTACCAAATGTTAATCAAAAACAGATATTTGATATTTTTAAATGATAAACTTTTTAGAATATATGGCTCTTTAAGTCTTGTTATAAGAGAATTGTTAATTACTAGTATTAATTTCATTAATTGCCATTAATAAGAAATATGCTCATTTTTCTAAACTTTGTATAACTTAAGGGAAGCTCTGTAAATGCAATAATGACCATTCATTATTGCTATTGAGAAAAGTAAGAAAAGAGCCAGAGCCTAGAAATGCACACTAAAAAAAAAAATCTGTATAGAACCAAGTGTGAGTGAAAATCTTTAAACAACATATTATCTTGGTAGTAAACTGACATCTGGATTAAGGTGCAGTATGGGGGCCCCCTGCTTCTTCACATTAGTGCACTAAATTAGCAATCAACTAGTTCATTGTGAAATCAACTGCTGTTTCCAAACAAAGGATGCCAGCATCCAGTGTCAGGGTTGCTAAGTGCCTGATTACACAAAGACAATGATGGGCTGCCAAAGCAATCCTTTAGCCTAGCTTTAACACTAAAGCCAAGAGGCATTTGGTATGCAGAGCAGAACATAGTCAAACATGGGTAACTGAAAGATTTAAATTAGGTTGTTTCTGTGTGGCCCCCTTTTCTTACAATCACATCCTTATGTTTTCCTTGGATATAGTAAAGGGTATGTTTGGATCTAAATAATTTTTATAGAAATAAGTAAAGAGCTACTAAAATAAACAATTGTATATCTTTATATTCATTCCATATTCATCTGACCTGAAGTGGTTTTAAGATTTATGTATATTCACCTTTATTTAACCCAATTGCTCCAACCTCCAGGCATCCCTTGTCGTAATTAAAGTCCTAACAATCACGTCACAAAAATTATGTTAGATGGTCCCAGTGAAAATCTACTTACAGCCATTTTCTTAACCAGGACTCCACACACAATGGCATGGTCCTCTCCCTGAACAGGGCCTTGATGTTAGTTATTACCCCTGGCTTTCTGAAAATAGACATGTTGACTGATCAATCAGGACAAAGCAGGAAAATGAAGGCTGTTTTCTTCCAAAAATGTCTGACATGCTTGTGTGCTTGATCACTGAACATATTAGACTCCAATCATTCCCTAGCTTACTTAGAAGCTGTTGTCTTCAACTTGTTTTTTTCCCCATTGTTGTACCAAAAATTTCATAGACAATGTAATAACCATAGAAATGCTTTAGACTCTCATATTTACATATATATATATATATATTTTTTTTTTTTTTTTTTTTTTTTTTTTTGCATAAACAGTCCAGGTCTTAGTCATTTACTCTTACATCCAACTTCTTGTTGTCATTTCTGTCTGGGATATTTTAATTCTTCCAATTAAAGTGTCTGGTACAGAATCCTTTATTTCGGTAATGTCATTACCATATACCTTATTTCACAAGTTAGGGTTTGTCATTTATCTTTGCCTCCATCCTTTCCCCTGCAATATCCTTCACTCATTCAGACCACCAGCATTTCTTGCATTGTAATTCCTTTGTCCTTCTCCAGTCTGGTACCATGAGAGATACATGATCATGAGAAGATATCCTTGAAATGAGAAGATAGGCACGAAATACTAGCCATCAGTTCTAAGATTAACAAAAAAAAAAAATAGCTTCTCTAACAAGACATAGAGGTCTCTCAGTGACTTGGATCTGGCCCAGTGATTTGCATCCTGCCAATATTAGTAAACTCATCTTTTTTGTCCCTTAGCTGACACGTTAGGAACCTGTACAGTAGATTTTGTATAGTTTTCAGACAAACGTTGTTTTCTGCAATACTCATTCATTTATTTATTATGTTGGAAAATACAAATTTGCCATTATACAGAGCTTCATTTGGTCTTCGCTTTCTCTCTTTCTTCCCAAAATATTCTTCCTCCCTACCCTAGCTGGTTGAATTTCTATCATTATTTAATCCACATCAGGTGTCACTTCACTGATTCTCTTACATGTCTACATCTGATGACTCATTCATCAGGTGTCATTCTCTTGGACTCTCTTACATATCTACATCTCTAACTCTGTATTTGTTATTGTATTAGTCAGAGTGCTCCAGAGAAACAGAAACAACAGGATATCGAGAGAGAGGAGAGACTTGTTATAGGAATTGGCTCATTTGATTATGGAGGCTGCAAATCTAAAATCTGCAGTGTGGGCTGGCATGCTCAATACCCAGGAGACCAGGTGGCACACTCCCAGTCCAAAGGCAGGCAGGCAGAGACACAGGACAATCTAAAAGTGCAGATAAAGTCTAACAGCAATTTGCTGGAGAATTCCTAGCTTGGGAGGGTGGTATTTTAGTTGTGTTCAGGCCTTCAATTGATTGCATAAGGCCCAGTGATATCATGCAGGGAAATCTGCTGACTCTGACTTGAGTTTCACAAATAAAATGTTAACCTCATCCAAAAACATCTTCCAAGTTGACACATAAAATTAACCATCACAGGTATATATTTTAATAATTGTGTATCAGCCTTCTTTATGGTCCAACAATATTTGTGATTGCAAACATTTTGTTTTTCTTATTTTATGACAAAATTAGTGAAAAAAAGTCATACATTGTAGGTGATGAATAAGTGGTTATTAAATTATTGCAGAGGTTTATCAAGTTTCTCTAAATCTAAAATTATTCCGACATGAAAACCTCACTTGACTTATTGCTACCTTCTCTCTAAACATGAATACATTGTTCCAAGTACTCAATTTCCATATACTATTGCACCTTCCAGCAGGCTACATGAAAGAGTTCATACATATTTGACACAATGGAAAGAGTTTGGCTAGTTACCAATTATTCTGGATTTCAATTACCAGGGCACATAAATAGAGACACTACAAATACCTTGCATGCTTATTATCATGTAAATTTTTCTACAGGGCCTGCAATGTTGTCTTTGTATTATAGATATCTCCTCCACCCTGTACAACTAACTCCCTTATATCATGTTAATATTCTATCTAGTGAGTTTCAGGTTAATTTAGTGTTGTTGGTTAAAGTAAATGGAAAACATGTGCAATGATTGATAGGTATAGTGGATTATCAAAGAACAGTGAGTTTCTGAGAATCTCAAATTAAAATATTAAGAATATTAGGCAATGGCATATGTGTAATGAAAAGAAAAATAAAAAATATATGCAGAATCACTGATAGTTAATGATTTTCAATTTTGAGGTAAAAGACATTTATTTTCTCCACTGTGTAGTTCTTTAATATTTAATCTTATAACATGAGCCTGTATTACTTTTTATACAAATACATGTTTGTGATGGGAAATATAGTAAACAGTTTGAAAGATTATCATTCACCTTTACAAAAAGCATCTTACGCAAAGTAAGAGGTATGATTAGCATGGGCAAGACTTCTTTCATTCACTCTTTAAAGAAATAGAGTTTACACAAGCAGTTTTATTAGAATTACCAGTTAGATTTGTGTATCTATCTATCTCATATGTACACACATACATACATATATATGTATGTGTATATTTCTATCGTGTATATGTATATATATATATATTTCTGTCATATATAATATATAAGAAAAAATGAAAGTAATCTGAGTTGTAATCATTTTTCTACTGACCTTAATATGTAAAAAAAATTGGTAATAAATAAATTAGTGAATAATCATGACAGTCTTTATTTTTATAATAGTCAAGATTTCAAGATTTGAATATGCTATTAAATCTATAGGTGAACTATGTATAAATTTTGGGGCATCTCCGTTGAATAATTTTATGGTTATAAAATTAATAAGTCAGTAACTAATATCGAATTATTTTTTAAAACCCTTTTCAAGTAAATATATTCATATATCAGAAAGATAATGCAAACTATACATGCCACATAGGCTTTCAACTTTTAGAATCTGCATTCTGAAGAATGTTCATGAATGAAAAGTTTCTAGGTATAAATAGAAAAAGGAAACACTAAATATTTAAATGAAGCCAACTTGTCATTTTCAGGCAGAAGGTATGGCCTAAAAGAGAAAAAACTGCATCTGTATGTTTGAGGCACATTCCTCTCATTCTGAAGTGTCTCAGCTGCTGTTTTTCAAAGCTGATGTGAAAGACAACAGAAAGTAGAGTGGTGACATAAATGGGTTGGGGAATTTATAAAAGGAAGGTGACATTTAGTCCTAGAATTTCTTTTGGTGCACTCGTCCTGCTATGCTTCGTGTAGAATTTTATTTTAATTCAGACACCTCAGAGTAAAGTATTCAGCTCTTAAATTTGTGTTTCTAGAAAATATTTTGTAAATATTTTAAAACATTTTTCTGTTTCTTCCTTAACAGCTACATAAATTGTGCATATAAGACAATTTCTAATCTCTGTCTGATCATTTACAAGCTAAAGCTACATATGCTAATATTTCCCACGGTGACAATGGCTACAAAATTGGAGTCATGCCAAACTTCATTTTAGTTCTGACTGTGTCACTTACTAATTGTGCGATTAATAGTAAAATTCAAATTCTCTAGTCCTCAATTTCCTCACTTGAAAACAGTAATCTTTTTTCTAGAGGAAACATTTGTCTTAATGTCTAACACAATAAAAAGTTCAAGGAATGCATTTTGTGAACTTCGGTCATTCAAAAACCATTAATTGGATACACAGATCCCATGCCAGATGATAGAAATACACCTCTGAAAAATAAAGACATGGTTTCTGTCTTCTGGGACCTAATGCATTTGCATACCTCAAGTTATGAAATACAGAGCAATAATTGTATTATTTATGTCTCTGTAAAATACAGAGACAATAATAATACCTACTTCAGCTACTATGAGGATTAAATAATATACCAGGCACCTGGAAATAATTACATGCCTGGTACATTTTCTGTTTATTATTAATGCCATCTGTCTTCTCTACATCTCTAATGCTGCCTTCAATATGCTCTTCCCAAAATTAAAATCTGTATAGTTATCTTTTATTATAATTAGAAAAGAATTATTTGGAGAATAAACTTGATTTATATAAACAGCGAGGGTTAATATGCACAACCAATGTACCTACTTTTTTTTTTTTTTTTTTTTGAGATAGAGTCTCACTCTGTCGCCCAGGTTGGAATGCAGTGGCATGATCTCAGCTCACTGCAACCTCCACCTTTCCAATTCAAGCAATTCTCCTGCCTCAGCCTCCCAAGTAGTTGGGACAACAGGTGCCAGCCACCATGCCCGGCTAAGTTTTGTAGTTTTCGTAGAGACAGGGTTTCACCATGTTGGCCAGGCTGGTATCGAACTCTTGACCTCGAGATCCGCCCACCTTGGCCTCCAAAGTACTGGGATTACAGGTGTGAGCCACTGCGCTTGGCCCAGCAGTAACACATCTATGTATTTATCCAAAATAATTAAAATCCGGATCGCAAAAAGGTTTCTGCACTTCCATGTTCACTGCACTGTTATCACCATAGCCTGATGTGAGCTCAACCCAAATGTCTAAGCAGAAAAAAACGGATAATAAAAATGTGTATATATACAACGGAATATTATTTAGGCATAAAAACATGAAATCCTGCTGTATGTGACAGCATGGATGAATCTTGGGAACATTATGCTAAGTAAATCAAGCCAGTCACAGAAGGACCAATACTGCATGATTCCACTCATACAATGTATCTAAAATAGTCCAACTCATAGAAGTCTAAAGACAAATGGTGGTTTTTAGGGACTGGAGACAGACGAATATGGGGAGTTATTTTTCAATGAGTGTGAAGTTTCAGTACTGCAAGATTAATGAGTTCCAGAGACCTTTGTGCAATACTATGCTTATAGTTAACAATGCTATTGTTACAGTGTGCACTAGAAAACTTGTTAAGCTGATAGATCTCATGTTATCTGCTTTTGCTATAATAAAAAAATTTTCTTAAAAAAGTCATTCAGGTGACAGAAAATGTATTCTACACAAATTTGGGCCTATAGAAAAATTCAAAACATTGGAAAATATATGAAAAATATAGACAAAAAAATTGGAAAATATGTAAAATATATATATACTGTGTCCAGTTTCTTAATTTATTTGAAGATAATGAAATATGTAAATCAAACATTATGGCAGTGTATTGCAGAGTTTATAACATATGTAAAAGTAAAGGGTACAATGATACTAGCACAAAGGGTGAGAGATAAGATAAAATTTTAAAATTCTTACAACAAATATGACAAGGTAAAATATGATTTTAAGGTAGACCGATAAATTAAAGATGCTAACTGTAAACATTAGAGAAACTATGGAAAATTTAAAACCTAAATAAATATCTAACGAGTAGGGGAAATATAAAATACAAAAAATAATCAATGTATCAAAAACAGAGGAGGAAGAGAGAAAAGTCACCAAGGACAGAATAGACAAATAGAAAACAACAAAATTAGACTTAAATATAATCATATCAATAACTATGTTAAATGTAATTTAATAGTACACCACAATTAAAAAAACAAATTTTGGATTGTATTTGTTTTCTAAAAAGCAAGGCTCAATAATATACTGCTCATAATAAAGATCTGTGATATGCAAAAAAGATGGGTCATGTCACATATTTCATGTCACATATTACTATGAGACAATAACGAATTTACTCCATGTACATCAAAAAGTGATTTATCATTAGTCATTAAGGAAATACCAATTTAAGCCACAATGATATGCCACTCTACAGTGACCATAATGGTTAAAATTTGTTAAAAAAAGCAAAATGACAAAAAATTATTGTAAGAATGTAGAGGATATAGAAATATCATTAATTGCTAATAAGAGTGTAAAATTGTACAAATACTTTAAATATTACTCTGACATTCTTTGTCACATAAATTTACACAACCCTATGAATCAGAAATTCTATGTGTAATTATTTCCCAAGATAAATTGAATCAGATGCACACACAGAGGCACAGAGATATATAAATGTTCAAAGCTACTTTATTTTGTTAAGAGTGTGGGATACGTGAATATATGACTTTTTAAACCCTTACATAGATTTTTATATTTAAGATCTGTTTGTGGCACTATGTACAAATGATACGTCGATAAAAATTAATAATTTTTAAAGAAATAATTTTGAGGGAAATATAACTTAGCTAATATCATTCTTGCTTTTGCATTTTTCCTGCTTTAATTCCCTCTTTTCTCAGATATCTGGGAAGAAAAGACTAGCTAGCAAGCATAATAAATCAGAAACTTTGAATTATTAGCTACTTTATTTCAAAAGTAATTGAATAATATTTTTATCACATATACGGAAAGGTTCCTTGAAGTGACAAAGCTATAATCTTATTGCCCGTTACACTCACACTGTTAGGCTCTCCTTGAATAAGCATTAGCTCTGAAGAATCATTACTGTATGAATAAAACTTGACATTGAGTTTTAGGACACTTGTAATTTCCTACGCAAACACAGGGCTTATAGTATTGCTAACACAAGTTTGCATTTATTCTGCTGGCCAGGGTACTGGCAATTTTCCTTAATTATAAAATATCCTTATGTTTAGAGCATAATGTACATATGGACAAGGCAAAATGTTAGCAATTAATCCTTAAGTAGAAAGCCATGTGGATACAATGCATCGTGAGTTATTGTATGCTATTGCAAATCCCACAAAGGGGCTCTAGCATCAAGAGGTTCAAAATAACTGGCTTTGAACAAATAGTTAAAATTAATATAAAGTGTACTGCCATTGGCACCTAGTGTGCACTGCAAGAACCATTTTAGACAAATGCTTAGTCTAATCTCATACCAACTATAAATCATGAACTTTTCTCTTTTGAACTCTATTGAACTGTGGCTTTATTTTCTAGTGAGCAATTTCAACATTCTTACAATTAAAACTGTGAAGAAATGGCATATAGGCATAAAGAAGATTAAGCCATTTGTTGAGGTTGTTAATGATCTGTTTTCTATACCAGTCTCTCATTGGTGATGGTCTGATATTTTTACAAAACTTAGGATCGATCAACTTCTTCCCTCTTAAGACTATAGCTAGTTCATATTTATTCATTGGTATTTTTTTTTCAAATGTAAGGTTCTAAGAGTAGAACTCAGTGTTCTATGTACACATGGCAGATATTATTTCTCAAATTATAAATAAAATATTTTCTATATGATGCTAAAACAGTATTTATATGAGGTATACCTATTCAGGCATAATACAATATGTGAGGATATTTTATATGACAAAGATTTTTAAGAAGTAGAGATGAAGATTAAAAGAATAGCATACAGAAATATTATTTTAAGGTGCAAATTTACTTAATAACATACACAGAAAATTGAATTAAAAATGTAATCATTGCTTTATGTTTACTTTTCTAAGATGGTTGGTCATCATATTAGTTTCCTAATACTGCTATAACAAAAAAATCAATAGGGTGACTTCAAACAACAAAAAACGTATTCTCTCATGCTTGTGGAAGCCAGAAATCCTAAATCAAGCTATTGACACAAGCTATACTCTCTGAGATTTGAGGGAATAATTTGTTTTGTTCTTCTCTCCTAGCTTCTGGTGGCTTCCAGTAATGCTTGGTGCTCCTTGGTTTGTAGTTTCATCTCTCCAATATACCTTCATTTTCACATTCCCTCCTCAATCTCTCTGTGTATGTGTGTGTGCCAATGTGTGTATGTCCAAATTTCTCTAAGGATGCCAGTCATACTGGATTTAGGGCCCACCCTAACCAAGTAGAGTGTCATCCTAACTTGATTACATCTGCAAAAACCTTATTTCCACATAAGATCACATTCAAAGATTTCCAGGGAAAAAAAAAATTTTAGGAAACACTATTAAACCCCACACAAACAGAAAAAAATGAAGCTCTTCTTGTTAGTATCGTGGTGAGTATTCCCACCTGTCATCAACAATAAAAAGTATTTTTAATGTCATTTCACTTTAGATGTTTATTCTAATTCAACTCAGTAAATGAAGTATGCCACTTAATAATTTATTTACTGTTTTAGTCACAAATACTTACAGAATACCTATTCGGTGATACTCACTGTGGTAGCCACTGGTGATTTAAAAAACAGTAAAAGAAAAACAAACCTAGAGATCGACAATAATAAAAAACACACAAGCTATTAATATTTGTCTTACATATATTGACTTTGACAAATGGATTTGATGCCATGTTGCTAAATGTAGAGTGCCTAATGACAATAATAATGTCATTTCAACAAAGGATATCTTCCTTGCATGATCCAATGTCATTTCATATGGGCCCTTGACTCCCACATGTCAGTTTCCTGGGTTCTGGCAGTGAACAAATGATCAACCATAGCAATAACAATTTAGTCATAGACATACTGACAATCTGATGGTATTGTAATAGTATTTAGTTAGAAGAAAAAGATTACTCAAATTATTCCCTAAAACATAGCACCCTGTATGTGATTACTATAGGCAAAATATACAAAAAGAAATAAGCAATATCAGCATCTGTTACCTGACTAGTTTTCAACCTCAAATTCTAATACGTAAATTTCTGAACTAGCTGATTTTCAGCATATTTTTCCCATCATAAAATAATTATCTATGAGAATCACCATATTTGGATTATCTTCAATGCTTGTTAAACAGACATTCTTTGGCCTAAAACAACTAATTTATTGATTCAGAATCTTTGTGTATATTTATAAGCATTTGCATTTAATTCTGTTCTCTAACAGAGTCTTACATTAAAGTCTAAGAACCATTGCTATAGCCCGTAAACATCATTACTAAGAAGGAAAATAATTTCTTTCAACAAGAAGGATTATAGAATAAAAGATTTAAATGAAGCAGAAGGATTAATAGAAGAAGGTGGAAGACTGTTCGAGTTACTACAAATAACAGCAAGAACAATAATTGTGGGGTGGGTAAATAGAATTTTTAAGGAAAGTCATCTAAAATCTTTGTTGGTGAAATAAAATGCCCAAAAAACAGAGTCAAAAATTGCTGAAATGTTCATCTTAGCTATAGGCAAAGTACATAGGCAAACAAATTTTTATTTTGGCGCTGAGATTTATTAGTATTATGACATTTTCTTGATGCCTGATCAATTTTCCTCCTTAGAAGTGTAATTTTTCTTCTTAGAAGTACTATCGTTGGAGAATATAGAACAAAAATTTATGAGCTTCTTCTAGTGGCTATAACCTTGTTCAGGGAAACACTTTTTACAGAAAATTATGAGAAGCATCTAAATATTTATCTTGAAATTTGGGATCAAGAGAAATCAAGGGAAAATACTATATTTGACTTATGTTACCTAGGCCTGCAAAATTGTTTTCCCAAGTTACATTTCTGTATTATATACAGCAAAAATATCTCCTTTTTCAGAAGGCAGAGCAAAGAAAAGATGAGTGAAATTCTAACCAAGTTTATATGTTGCAAATGTGAGTCGACTGGGGGGATTTTCAAGTGAATGGACAATCTAAATTATTGTCCACTGCTTGTGGAAACATACCCAAATCTTTTGTAAAGACCTTTTTTATCTGCTCCTTGTCTATGTTTCTTAACTGTGTTGTTTAGTTATCTCTATATTCACCTTATCATCTTAGCATATTAAAGTTAGCCCTAACTTTCACCCAAGCACAGGGTATTTACATTGCCTTGAAGGTCTTTTTCCAGTTGCCTAGATTATGAGCTGCACATTTTTAATGGTTCCACTCTAAAGACAAATCTTTAGACAATCTTTCTACATCATTGCAAATGTAAACTATGCATATTTCTTTACATACTCATATTTTCCCTTTTTGCTACCTCCGTTATAACTTACACTTTTCCCTTAAATAATGGGAGTTATTAACAAATCTCACTTCCCAGGTAGACTATTTTGGAAGGTAGATTCACTTTCTTTATTTTGGCCCCAGAGATTGCATCATAGTAACTGCAAACAATGTTAAACTTTATGTGCAGCCTATTCTGCAGAATATTAATAGCCCAATACCTTTGTGTTCTGGAAAGAGGTTATGGCAAACAATCATCCTTCTTAACAAGATTTAGGTAAAACTCACTGACACCTTATTGACCTCTAACAAAGCTAGACACAGAACCTCCAAATTTCCATTATTTATCTCATAAATGATTAGCTGAACTACTTGTCTGTAGGAGTTCAGTCAGGGTAGTGGGAAAAATTTTAAAAGTTATAGAGAAAGACGCAAACTTTCTTGGAAGGCTGGGAGGTTTTGCAAAAGCTTCCAAAGATAATTTGGCTGAAGGCAACAAAATTCTCTTATCTGGAGCCTGAGAACAAAAGGTAGATAACAAGCAAGTGTAAAGGAATTGATCTAGGTAAGTTAGTTTACTTAGGCCTGGGAACCTGACCTTTAATCATCTGCATGTAGGACTGCTCTCTGAGGGGAGGAGGTTGTGGGGGGAACATTTTAATTACCCACAAGTGTGTTGACTCAAAGCCTCTGTCATTAAACCTGTACTAAATAAATGCCTGCAGTGCTGGCATGTCAGGGCTGCAGCCACTGTGACTCTTTACGGCATCCTCTTCGATGTCTGTGAGTGGCCCAGTCTCCTAGCCATGCAGCTAGGCAAAAAAACCTGTGTCTGCATACATTTTTCATCCGTCGTTTGGCCAGGGTCTGTGGATCAGTCCTGGCACTTGTCTCCACTAATCAGTCAGAGAAAAATCTTGTTAGTCAAACTTAGGTTAATTTTCTCTCTTTTCCCCAGGCCACTTTACCCACCTCAACCTAAACCAAAATACAGCCCCTCCTTAAAAGCCCATCCTGAAATAGGTTGTTCTCAGAATAAAACACTCATTGCATCCTTACATTCTACTTCACCACTTATGGTTCCTTCTAGCCTGTTTACTTCTCTCCATAAAACAAAATAAAATAATAATAATAATTTTAAAAAACCCTTTTGTCTAACTTTAGAGACACTTGGAGAGGTTTCTTGGTTAGACCATTCTCCCTATTGCAAGAGTCATTTTGAATAAAGGTTCTTCTTACTTAGGTATGGAGTTTATTTTTTATTTCCTAATGACTAATAAATGTGTTGATATATTGATGAATTAAAATCAACTTATTATTTACCACTACCCCTTAAAATTTTCTATATCTTCTGTTTGCATAAACATGCCATCATCAGCATCCAAACAATAAATGTATAGTGACCTTTAATTTTCCTTACTCTTATATTTAACCTGTACCTCTATTTCACTATTACTGCAAATGTTTTTCTCTTTCTAATTCATTTCTGTTGTCTTAGTTCTGGCTATGAGAACAGAGTGGGACTCTAACTTATTCTCCCTTCTCCTTGTATGTCTTCCATTTTACATTTATTTTTGCTATCATATTCACATTTGAAAAATAGAAATAGTTTCATGTCATAAGCTGTGGAACAATTGTAATTAGTTCTGTGTAATTTATAGAAAAGAAGTGAAAATTTCTTGGCTGAGGATACAGAGAAATCACCCACTACATCCTCTGTTTCCTTTCTGCTTTTACCTGCTACTTCTTATTAGAAAATAATTTTATGTATTTGCTGCTTATCGTACCTTCTGGCCATTCATTATTTTTCATAGTTTAATTTTTAACTTCAGTTATCTTTATGAATACATAATATTTGTACATATTTATGAAGTGCATATGATATTTTGATACAGTTATACAATGTATAATGTTCAAATCAGATTGTTTTAAATATCCATCACCTCAAACACTAATCATTTCTTTCTGTTGGGATATTTCAAATTTTATCTTCTTCTGTTGTTTTGAAATATATTGTTGTTATCCATAGTCACACAATTGATTTTTTCCCGCTATCTAACTGCATGTTTGCACTCATTAAGCACCTCTCTTCATCCCCCAACCCCACACTTTCTCAGCCTCTGTAACTATCATTCTATCATCATCTCCATGAGGTCCACATTATTAGCTACGACACATGAAAGGGAACATGTGATATTTATCTTTCTGTCCCTGGCTTATTTTACTTAACATAATGACCTCCAGTTCCATTCGTGTTGCAGCAAACTAACAGGATCATATTATTTTTTATGGCTGAGGAATATTCTGTTGTATTTGTTTGCATTATACATTTTTTTGATGGAGACTTAGGTTGATTCTCTATCTTTCATTATTGTGAATAGCACTGCAATAGATATGGGAGAGTAGCTAATATTGATTTCTTTTCCCTTGTATAAATACCCAGTAATTGGATTGCTGGATCATGTGGTTGTTCGACTTTTACTCTTTTGAGAAACCTCCAAGTTCTTCGTAATGGCTGCATGAATTTAAATTCCCACCAACAGTATAAAAGAGATTGCTTTCCCCCATGTCCTCTCCAGAATTACTCATTTTTTAAAAAAAATTTTGCTGACAGCCATTCCAGCTGGGGTAAGGTAATATCTCATTATGGTTTTGATTTATATTTCCTGGGTGATTAGTGATGTTGAATATTTTTTTCATATATTTGTTAGCCATTTGTATGTCTTCATGAATGTTAAACCCCAAATGATGAAAACCATAGAAGAAAACCTAGGCAATACCATTCAGGACATAGGCATGGGCCCAAAATTCATGACAAAAATGCCAAAAGCAATTGCAACAAAACCCAAATAGACTAATTGGATATAATTAAACTAAACAGCTTCTGCATATCAAAAGAAATGATCATCAGAGTGAGCAGGCAACCTAAAGAATGGGAGAAAATTTTTACAATCCGCCCATCTGATAAAGGTCTGATATCCTGAATCTAAAAGGAATTTAAACTAATTTACAGGAAAAAAAAACACCCCCATCAAAAAGTGGGCAAAAAATATGAACAGACAGTCCTCAAAAGCAGACATTTATGTGGCCAACAAACATAGAAAAAATTCTCAACATCACTGATCAATAGATAAATGAAAATCAAAACCACAATGAGTTGCCATCTCATGCCAGTCAGAATGGCAATTATTAAATAGTCAAAATACAATAGATGCTGGCAAGGCTGTGGAAAAATAGAAATGTTTTTACACTGTTGGTAGGAATGTAAATTAGTTCAACCATTGTGGAAGTACAGTGTGGTGATTCCTCAAGGGTCTAGAACCAGAAATACCATTTGACCCAGCAAACCCATTACTGGATCTATACTCAAAAGAATATAGATCATTCTACTATAAAGACATATGCAGATGCATGTTTATTGCAGCACTATTTACAATAGCAAAGACATGGAATGAACCCAAATGTGCATCAGTGATAGACTGTATAAAGAAAATGTGGTACATATACATCATGGAATACTGTGCAGCCGTAAAAAGGAATGAGATCATGTCCTTTGCAGGGACATGGATGAAGTTGGAAGACATCATCCTCAGCAAACTAACACAGAAACAGAAAACCAAACACTGCATGTCCTCATTCATAAGTGGGAGTTGGAAAATGAGAACACATGGACGCAGGGAGGGAAACAACACACGCTGGGGCCAGTCAGAGGATGGGGGGCAAGGGGAGAGAGAGCATAAGGACAAAAAGTTAATGCATGCGGGGCTTAAAACCTAGGTGGTAGGTTGACAGGTGCAGCAAACCACCATGGCACACGTATACTAATGTAAAAAACCTACACGTTCTGCACTTCTATCCCGGAACTTAAAGTAAAATTTAAAAAATTTAAAAAACGAAAAGTGTCTACTCAGATAATTTATCCACTTTTTAGTGAGGTTATTTGTTTTCTGCTCCTGAGTTGTTGAGTTACTTATATATTTTGGATATTAGTCCTTTGTTGGATAATTAGTTTGCAAATATTTTCTTCCATTCAATGGGTTGTCTCTTCATTCTTCTGTTTCCTTTGCTACACAGAACTTTTTAGTATATAGCGAGATATATTTCACAATCTAAACAAGGGGTGGAGAATTCTGTGAGTCTTGCCTAAATCAATGAGAAGGCGTGATTGTTTATAGTAACCTGTTTCCAGAACACCAAGAGACTGTGGTATTACTATTTTGCAGGATCATATGCTTCACGTAAAGTTTAACATTGTCTGCAGCTACTAGAATACAATCTCAAGGGTCAAAATAAAGAATTAAAGTAAATCTACCTCTCAAAGTAATTAGTCTACCAAGGAAGTGACATCTGTTAATAACTTATTATGTAAACAGAGTGAGTTTTAATAGAGGTATCCAAAAGGTGAAATATGTGTGGTTTTATACTTCTGCATATAGATTTTCAGTTTTCCCAGCACCATTTACTGAAGAAGTTGTCTTTCCCTAAGTTATGTTCATGACTCTTTCATGTTTCATGTAATTTGTCTCCTATATGCAAATTATTTTTCTAATAAGTTTATGCCTAGTAAAACCCTATTCTTTCTGCAAATACCATTAACATTTCACTTGCTAAAATGCACAGTTCTCAATTTCCCATCAGGATTGTTTAAACTGTCTTCTTTTTACATTAACCCTGATGTAGTACTTAAAATAATTATTGAAGTGTATTATTTGTGCAACTTTGTAGAATAACATATCATCATAATTAGTTTTAAATAAAGCTCCAGAAACACATTTATTATTCAATACATACTGAGTTAATTATATATGGGTATTATGTTCATTTAATATACTTTCTGATTATAAAATAAGTATATATATGGTACACGGGTTTTAAAAGTACATAACATGATAAAGATTAAAAGAAAAAAATCAGCTCTTTCATCAATTTTTTACAATGCTTTTCAAGTTTTGTAACTGCTTTGTAACATTATCTCAATCTCCATCAATAAAATGTAGTTTCATAAGAAAAATTAAATAAAATGACATAAAAAACTTCATATTTCTTTTTTCCATATGATTTTGAAGGTGTTATTTTTAATAATTAAATACTAGCCAATACTCTATTATGATAAAATATACTGATTTATATGTTTTGCTTCTGTTAGACATTTGCACTGTTTTTAAATTTCTACTAATATACACACGACAGTGTGATATATATATAAATTATTAGCCAATTACAAATGAAGAAGCGAATAGCCTGATTTTGTAAGTTTTGAGTATATCAATAATTATATCAGAAATTATGTGCATAAGAATACAAGAAAGAAGTGTCAAAAATTTAAATTTGTGTGTGTGTATAGATAGATAGATAGACATAGATATAGATATATAGATGGTGTATATATCTTGTATTTGCCCACAATATCAACGCCTCCATAATTCATACTTTAGCAACAATTGATTTTGTATGTGTGTGTACGCAAGTGTGTTTCTCTACATGCAATTGTTTTTTCTGTGGTGTCTACTCCATTAGCTTAAGTCACATCCTGGCTTGTAAGTAACTAGTCAACTTATATTCACCCCCTTCTCTACTTTCTCTCATGTATATTTACATGTATGTATAGCAATAAGAAAATTATTCTCAGGTGTTAGTATTGTCAAATAACAAGGAGGGAAATATCAAGTGGTCTCCTAGACTGAAAGTCTAGATTAGAAGACTGTTGGTATATATAACCGTACTCCAAATATTTCTTGCATTTGTGAATATTAAGAAATTTAGCAGCAATTTTTATGTTAATGCTCATATGTTTATTCGACCTCACGTTGTTTAGGACCTCTCTTCACATTGGTGTCTCTCTTTGCTCATGATTCAATACTTAGTGACTGAAACTTATAGGACCTCAAAACATATTTATTAAATAAACCAATAAATCCTCCAAACCAACTCGTGAAAAAAAAGTCATGCACTGACATTTGGGAGTAAAATTCATCCTTGGGTTGCTCTGCATTACAGATTAAAAAAGAAAAGTTCCTAAAGCTCTATAACCCCTTATTATTGAAACAATACAATATGATAGCCAGATACTTTAGTTAAGAGCCTAGGAAATGATTCTATTTCTAACAAAAGCCCCACTGGCCCAGACACACACACAGACACACACACACACACACACACACACACATATATATATACAATATTTTTAAACAAATTCATGTCAGTCTTCTAATTATGAACTTGTTTGTTGTCACCCAGGATGGAGTGCAGGGTACAATCACAGCTCACTGCAGCCTCAATCTCCTGGGTTCAAACATCTCCCTGTCTCCTGAGTAGTTAGGAATACAGGAGAATGCCAACATGCCTAGCTATTTTCTTTTTTATTTTTTTTTGTAGAGGCAGGACATCACTATGTTGCCCAGGCTGGTCTCAAACTCCTGAGCTTAAGTGATTCTCCTGCCTTAGCCTCCAAAGTGCAGGGATTACAGACCTGAGCCACTGCACCTGGCTTTACTGGTAGTTTTATCTATCAGTCATTTGCTCCTCAATATCCTCCATCAAATTTTTCCTATCAATAAAATATAAAATATGGAGTTTGGAATTTAAGTGAATAATCAGGATTTGGTGACTTTCACCCTTCTCAAAGGATAAGGTCTCTCAAGGTGATACACTTTGCCTCTGTGTCCTCACCCAAATCTCACCTTGAATTGTAATTCCCATAACTCCCATGTGTCAAGAGCAGGACCAGGTGGAGGTAATTGAATTAGGGGAATGGTTTTCCCCATGCTGTTCTCATTACAACGAGTGAGTTGAGTCTCTCAAGATCTGATGGTTTTAGAAGCATCAGGCATTTCCCCTGCTTGCACTTTCTTCATCCTGCCACCCTGTGAAGCAGGTGCGTGGTTCTCCTTTCCCTTCTGCCATGATTGTACGTTTCTTGAGGCCTCTCCAGCAATGTGGAACTGTGAGTCAATTAAACCTCTCTCCTTGATAAATGACCCAGTCTCAGCTATTTCTTCATAGCTGTGTCAGAATACACTAATACAGTAAATTAGTACCAAGGTAGTGGGGGACTGCTGTAAAGATACCAAAAATGTGGAAATGACTTTGGAACTGGGTAACAGGCAGAGATTGGAACAGTTTGGAAGGCTCAGAAGGAGACAGGAAGATGTGGGAAAGTATGAAGTTTCCTAGATACTTGTTGAATGACTTTGACAAAAGTGCTGATAGTGATATGGACATTGAAGTTTAGGCTGAGGTGGTCTCAGATTGAGATGAGGAACTTCTTGGGAATTGGAACATAAGTGACTTTTTGCTGTTTTAGCAAAGAGACTGATAGCATTTTGTCCCTGCCCTAGAGATCTGTGGAACTTTGTACTTGAGATAGATGATTTAGGGTGTCTGGCAGAAGAAATTTGTAAGCGGCAAAGCATTCAAGAGAAAGCAGAACATAAAAATTTGAAAAATGTGCAACCTGATGATGAGATAAAAAAGAAAAACTCATTTTCTGAGGAGAAATTCAAGCAGCCTTCAAAAATTTGCATAAGTAACCAAGAGCCAAATGTTATTCATCAAGACAATGGGGAAAATGGCTCTAGGACATGTCAGAGACCTCCACAGCAGCCCCTGCCATCACAGGCCCAGAGGCCTAAGAGGGGAAGATGGTTTTCTGGGCTTGGCCCAGGGCCCTTCTTCTGTGTGCAGCCTCAGGAATTGGTGCACTGTGTCTCAGCTGCTCCAGCCATGGCTTAAAGGGACCAAGGTACAACTCAGGCCTTTTCTTCAGAGAGTCCAAGCCCCAAGCCTTGGCAGCTTACACATGTTGTTGGGCCTCCTGGTGCACAGAAGTCAAGAATTTAAGTTTGGGAGCCTCTGCCTAGATTTCAGAGGATGTATGGAAATGCCTGGATGTCCAGGGAGAAGTTTGCTGCAGGAGTGGAGCCCTTATGGAGAACCTCTGTTTGGGCAGTGCAGAACAGAAATGTGGAGTTGGAGCCCCAACACAGAGTCCCTACTGGGGCATTGCCTAGCGTAGCTGTGAGAAGAAGGCCACTGTCCTCCAGAACCCAGAATACTATACCTGCTGGCAGCTTGCACTAGGCACCTGGAAAAGCCACAGAGACTCAGTGCCAGCCTGTGAAAGCAGCCAGGAGGGGGGCTGCACTCTGCAAAGCCATAGAGGCAGAGCTGTCCAAGGCTGTGGGAGCCCAACTCTTGCAGCAGCTTTACCTGGATGTGAGACACGGAGTCAAAGAAGATCATTTTGAAACTTTGAGGTGTAATGACTGCCCTGTTGGATTTCAAACTTGCATGGGGCCTCTTGCCCCTTTGTTTTGGTCAATTTCTCCCATTTGGAATGGGTGTATTTACCCAATGCCTGTACCCCCATTTTATCTGGGAAGTAACTAACTTGTTTTTGATTTTACAGGCTCATAGGCAGAAAGGACTTGCCTTGTCTCAGATGAGACTTTGAACTTGCACTTTTGGGTTAATGCTGGCATGAGTTAAGACTTTGGATGACTGTTGGCAGTGCATGATTGTGTTTTGAAATGTGAAGACATGAGATTTTGGAGGGGCCAGGGGCAGAATAATATGTTGTTTGCCTCTGCTTTGCCTTCTGCCATGATTATAAGTTTCCTGAGGCCTCCACAACCATGTGGAACTGTGATTCAATTAAATCTCCTTCCTTTATAAATTACCCAGTATCTGGTATTTCTTCATAGCAGTGTGCAAATGGACTAATATGAAGGGAATAAATATTTAGAGAGAACAGGATGAAAAGCACAAGTGAGAGATGAGTAATTTTTAAAACATGTCAGAGACATGGTAATCTAGTAAGTCAATGACCACTTCCCTTTTGTGTTGAGTTGAATGTAGCCAGAAAATCTTAAATGAATAATCTAATTATGTTTTCTAGTAAATAAGCACAGAACTGCCTTCTGCAAATGTATGAGTCATTAAGCTCTCCACACATAGCTTAATTCCCAGATTTTACAGTTTTTTCATGATAAATTATAAAGACTTTGTAATGAATTGTTATTATGTATGATAACAATTATTATAGTGATGTATATAAAATACTATTCAGAAAACATCTACTTGGAATTAAATGTATACCCTTATTAACTGATTTATATGTGAGGTTTTGTTGTGGCCCAAAGCATTGAAAATATTTTAAATGATACCAAAGTTCTACATAGGGAAATGCTATTTCAAAACAGCAGCTTAAAATTGTTTTGTATCATTATCATATTTTCTTCAAGTAAAAGCTTCTCTTGAAGCTGACTATAAAAAACCTATAAAGATGAATACTATTACATTGGATAGAATAAAGGAAAGAAAGTTTCTGGTAGTTGAACCCTTGTTATTTCCCAATGTATTTGGAACATATACCTTGGAAATTCAGGTTATGATAACAATTTGAAAATGAATATTGAAAAATAATTAAATAATTTATAAACATGTATTATGATTATCTGTTTGTTTTCTTTTAAAATGCATAAAAATGGGTATGGATGTCTATCAAAAGTAGATATCTATACAACACCATGAGCACTTGTAGGGTTAGTGGATTTGGCCAGATTCATCATCACAAAACCAAAACTTTGCCCTAACAAAGCCCCACCATGAGTTCATATTAGAAAAAGTAATATATATGTATGTATGTATGTGTGTGTGTGTGTATATATAAATATATACTTATTTATTATATAATATTATATATATATATATATATGTATATGTAAACCAGATCAAGAACATGAAAGCAAAGTTCTTTTTCAGTTGCCACTAAAATGCTCTCTGAATCTCTAGTTTACTATATTGGGCTGAATTGAAGATTCCTTTTGCTTAGGCTCATGGCTAAACTTCGTAGTGGCTTCTTCCATTGCCAGTAATATTACATCAATCTGTAACTGCAACAATAGTTGTAAAGGGAAAGGTGCCGAAGGACAGCTCTGAAGGAAATCAGAGACGAATTGGTGATCACCTTCAACCCAGAGAATATGTTTTAAAGCCAGCCTAATCTCCCCATTGGACATCACTCTAAAATAAACACAGCTTCCAAAAAGTAGCATCCCTGAGCCTTTTAAACAGTATATCAACGTGGAACAAGAGAGTAAAAGAGACAACACTTTAATAAGAACTCATCATTTCACCTACTCTAAGCTGTACCTCTTCTTTTGAGGTGACGTTGGGGTGTGAATATAACAGTGAGAAGCTACGTATCTGAAAACAAATAATAAATTCATAAAGCAATACCTCATTGATTATATAATTTAATAGTACCTATTACTATATCTGCATATTTGGAATTTATAAATCGCATTTTATAGATGAGAAATACTGCTCCCCAACAAAGGTAACTGTTACCTGGATAGACTAGTTCTGCCTGCTCTTGAATATAATATAAATTATATCGTATAGTTTTTATTTATGTATGACCATTTTCTTTAAATTTTTTTTAACATGGTCCTGATGCTGTCCATAACGTACTTTATTCATTTTCTTTCCTATAGAGTACACCATTAGAGGACTTACCATAATTAAATCATTTGTTGCTGCTGATAGGGAAGTGCATTATTTACAGTCTGTACTACTATAAGTAATGCACATATTTTGTGCTTGTCTTATTGAAAAGACATATATACATTTGTGTTGAGAATATATCTAAGAGCAGAATAGCTGCCTCATGAGTATGCTCAGTTTTAATAGATAATGCTAAACAACCTTCCAAAGTGGTTGTACCAATTTATTCTCTCCCATTTCTAGTCACAGTTTACATAGGCTGGATCCAGTGAGGTCAGAACAGTCATCCTAAAATTTGTATGTGAATTACTTGATGGTAATGCTTTTAAAATACATTGTCTCAGTGATCCATCTCAACAAATGCAATTCAGTATGATTGGGGAAGCATCAAATAATCTGGGCTTGTAATGCATAATTTCCTAAGACTGTGATGAGTATGATTTGAAGAATAGTTATACAAAAACTGAATTGAAAACTTTTGAAATTAAGGCTTCTAAATCAGAAGTCTAAACATGATACATAGTTCGCTAAATGATGACATGCTCTCTCAGATGTTCCCACCACTATAAAATTTAGAATATTATTGTAGAGATATTTTCCATAGATTAGTGGATTGCATTTTCAAGAAAAGCATGGGCACAGCGAAAAAAAATAAATGTATGGATTGACCCATAAATATAAGAAAATATTTTTTATACATATAAATACAAATCTATATATTTGTGTGTGTATATATATATACAAGTATATATATATACATATATATGTGTGTGTGTGTGTGTGTGTATATATATATATATATGAATTGGTGATCACCTTCAACCCAGAGAATATGTTTTAAAGCTAGCCTAATCTCCCCATTGGACACCATTCTAAAATAAACATGGCTTCCAAAAAGTAGCAGCCCTGAGAGAGAGAGAGAGAGAGAGAGAGAGAGAGAGAGAGAGAGAGAGATCTATCTATCTCAGTCTTTTAGAAAAGACCTTGAGACTTAGTATGCATGCCTGGCTAACTCAAAGAACAAATACCTCAGTGACACATCTCTGTTTGTGATTTTATCTGAAGTCTTTACTTTTCTCCGCATTTATTGGTTTTGAATTTTTGCTATATTTGCAATTTGCTTAGTTGACAGCTATGAGAGAGGTATTTAGTGGCTATACCTGCTTTATCCCATATTTCAGGCTCTGCTTTAATTAGATTGGGGCATTAAGGTAAAGGTGTGCCTCCTTGAGCCTACTCTCCTTTCTGAAGCATCCTTGAAGGCCACATATGCCAGATGTGGCAGCACAGGATGGAATAACCTCCAGAAGCTCACAGCCCTGTGTGGGAAGGAGGACCCCATGGGCACTAAGCATGTAAAATGAGTGTAGACTTGACATCCTATAGCCATTGTGACAAAGCAAAAATCTGATATATGTGTTATTGAATTAGCACTCAATTTTTAGGTGGCAAAAAACTAATAGAAGAAAAAAATATTCATATACATTAATCATTGGCAAAATATTTTGTTCCCTTGCTATCGACAGTATCTTGGTATGCTAACTAAACTTGGAAAAAAATCTAACTGTAGGAGAAGATCTTGAAAAAAATGAAGGAAATAGTATGTATTGGTTGTTATTGGATATATTTGACAAGATATTGCAAGACAATAATGAGCTCTTGAAAGAACTGGCTAGTCTGTAAGTAGAAATAAAATTTAATAGAGAGATTCCAGAATTTGTATGCTTTACAGAATTATAAGTGCTTACTGCTTTTAGTAAGAGATGGAATCTGAATGTCCCATACAGTACATTATTATTTGTTATAAATGAGCACCCATTATTGAAATAAATATCATCAATACTTTGATAAAATATATGACATTCGTTGTGTTATTACAAAAGTGCCAAAGAATCAAACATAAAAATGGAAAGTAGGAGATAAGATATTCACATTTTATATTTTTATCAGTATTCACATTTTCAACTTTCGGTCCTGTAGTAAGCCATAACCTTCCAAACGTCCTCAAAAATGTTGCAATTTTTAGAGAGAAAATTTTTACAAGAACATCTTTTATACCTACATTAACATTCTGTCATTAGTGTCTGGGAGGATACTCAGATATCCTTCAAGATATCTCTTCTTTTGGTGCATATGTCCTGAATAATCTGCAGATCTGCAAAGATGATAGATTTTACTCTTTGATGAGGTTATGTTATAGGGCATAGTTGATTGTAAGGTAGAAAGATTATCTGCATGGGCCTCACCAAATCAGGTGAACCCTTCAAAAGCAATATTTTCCCTGTCTAGAATTAAAAACAGAAATCAGAAAGATAAATTCCAGCTTGTCTGGAAGAAGGCAAACACCCATGTTGTGAGCTGCTAGTGGAGAAGGCTGCTCTTTAGAAGCTGAGTGATCACCAGCACAGTTAGCAGACAAAGGGTAACTTCAATCCTACAACAGCAAAGAAATTAGTGAGCCAACCACCTGAATGAACTTGAAATAGATATTTACCCCAGCATTCAGAAGGCAAACAGCCCAGTTAATACCATTTCAATCTTTTGAGATGCTGAGCAGAGAATTCCGCTATGACGTACCCAGACATCTGACCTACAGACCTGGAAGTTAATAAATAAATATTGCTTTTTTGGTGCTGAATTTATGCTAATGTGTTTTTCAGCAACAAAAACTAATATAGTGTACCCACATGGACAGAAAATAGTATTTGTCTCCTTGAATCTTGAAACCAGAATGCAAATATCCCCGAAATCATAATGCAGAGTCTCTGAAACCGTGGTGAATGGCTCATTTTGCTTTTCTTTCCAGTATATACTACTTCCAACAAAATGCCTCAACCTTTGGCACTAGAAAGAAACTCAAGAATTACCATTTTAACTTATGAATACATCTTTCTAGATATATTAAAAAATCTAAGTATTTTAAAAAAACAGGATAATTTACAGTGTAGTTATATATTTTTCTTCTTCAAATAAGAATGTTTAAATTAAAGCTGCATCAGTCAGCAAGTTTTAACATTTTGAAAATAAGTATTTTTCTTCTTAAGAAAATGTACAGCACTAAACTAAAATAGAATTGAAATGAACTGTTAAGTGTATTCATGATCAGGATAGCCATATGTTATTTATGACCTCTGAGCTTGGTTCTAAGACAAATAAATGTTTGGATATAAATGGAATATTAATGGGTTTAATCTGGTAATTAAAAAGATGATGAGTTTTGGCCCAAGTAAGACTCTCCTGGATGTGATAAACCCTACATATATTTAAGGGATGGAAATCTTTTTTCTTCAAGATGTATATTTTATCATAATGTATAGTAAAAATATTTGGAGCATGTGACGTATTACTTTGATAAACAAAAAACCAATCTTATTGAATATTGACAAAATTACTAATGTAGGGTTAATGGCCATAAATTGTTTTACATATATAAATACACATATCATTTTGAGCACACACACAGACATATTAAGTTGTATGAAAGAGCTTTTTGAGTTGTTTTGAATAAAAGCCTTGCCATTGTTTAAGAACAGTAAAATGCTCTTTTAATGATTTACATATTGTTACAATGCTTAGAAGTTCATTTTTATTTTACTGGATATTAGAATAACAAAGCAGTAGATCAATTTTTAAGGGCTGTTAGGAGACAGTTTCTAGGTGCACAGAAAATAACACACTTGGTAATTATATTTCTAGAAACTATCTGATTATGAAAGCTTTATTTTAGAAATACAAGATATAAAATACATTGCAATGTTTATTTTGGCTATTGCTTATATACCTGATTTAAAATAGAAAGTTTAGTCATATAGTTATTTTAAATAAATAAATGTGCATTGAGCGTTATCAATTTTATTTATGTGACATTCTAACTCATTTGAAGCAAGAGTCTAAATTTGTATCACAGATATCTGGAGGCTCCCATAAAATCCTGCATGATGTATAAGCAGCACTGGTCACATTCACATTTGATTTGAAAAACTCTCTTGGACACAGGAAGGGGAACATCACACACCGGGGCCCATTGTGGGGAATGGGAAGGGGGGAGGGATAGCATTAGGAGATATACCTAATGTAAATGACGAGTTAATGGGTGCAGCACACCAATATGGCACACGTATACATATGTAACAAACCTGCATGTTGTGCACATGTACCCTAGAACTTAAAGTATAATAAAAAATATATATATATATAAAAAGAAAAACTCTCTGGAAAGATGAACAAGAATATCTTATCTGTGAGAATGAATCTCACATTCAGGCATTACTTTTTGTTTAACACCTACAGTTAAGGCTAGGTGCTGTGTGTGTGTGTGTTTGTACACTTCTGTGTCTGGGCATGTATGTATATATATTTATATACCTGATCTGAATTATCCATAATTATTTACATAAATTTAAGCAGAATTCATTATCAAAATAAAAAACTATCTCTGTAGGACTGCATAAAGTTCCAGGGAAGAATCTATGATAATACTTTGTTATTGGCGCCAGAGTATGTTGACATTGACTTATCTGTGCACTGTTATGCCAAAGATAGACATGCCTCCAGGCGGCACCTGCTGAGATGTCTGGATACCCATTGTTCTCTGTTCTTTGAGCCATGTATTCTCTACCCTTCATATGTCCCTAAGACACAGGATCATCTGATTCTCTGACATGCTGTCAGTTCTCACTAGGTAGCAAAGTGAATGAATACATTATTAATTTCTCCACCCCTTGAACAGAGGCTTGGACATGAGACTTGCTCTTGCCAACGGTAATTTTTTAAATGTGGCCTAAACAGAGAAGATGTCTTACTTTGCTGATTTGAAAAGCTACCACCACATCATATGAATTAGTACAAGATATCCTGCTTAAGACAGACACATGATCATCACTTTGATATTCAACAAATTGCCAACATGTGAGTGAGTTCCTTGAGGGTAACCAGCCTGCCAACCACTCGTATACTATTCAGACCTATCTGAGCCTAGACAGACCACAATAACTGACTCTTTGACCTATAAAGATGTGAAAAATAATAAATGTCTTTGGTTTTAAACTAGTCGATTTGGAGTAATTTGTTACAAAGTAAATACCAATAAATATACCTCTCTTCCAATTTAAAGTTTCTTCATCATGATTCTTCCTGATAATTTAGTAATGTCTTATGAATGTGGTGGCTTTATATCCTAAAGGCTTATATTTTGACAATTCATTTTCTATTAGCCAAAATAAATACTTCTCCTGTAGGCAAGGACAGAAATACAGAGATGTCCATGTGGAACAGTTCCCAAGTTTAAAAAGACATGTAAGTAACAAGAGCATATGGATAAGTATTTCACAAATTCTGATTTAAAAAACAAAACAAAACTTGCCCTAATATATACAGTGTGTAAACAAATGAGAGGAATGTAAGCTCAAAAATATGAGATATGATAAGTAAAAATAAATAAATATTCAAAATTTGATTAGAGAGGATATATTTCTTTACTGTTAGGCCCAAAATGTGTCCACAGTGAGAGGAGTATAAATATTGATATGGGTTTTTCTAACACAGTTTGCTAAAGCAGAAGTCCCCAACCTTTTCAGCACTGGACAGGTTTAGTGGAAGACAATTTTTCCACAGACAAAGGGGAGAGTGAGGTAGGGAGATGGTTTCAGGATTACTCAAGTGCATTACATTTATTGTGCACTTTATTTCTGTTATTATTACATTGTAATATATAATGAAATAATTATACAACTGACCATAATGTAGAATCAGTGGAAGCCCTGAGCTTGTTTTCCTACAACTAGATGGTTCCAACTAGGGGTGATGGGAAAAAGTGACAGATCATCAGGCATTAGATTTTCATAAGGAATGCACAACCTAGAACCACTGCATGAGTAGTTCACAACAGGGTTCACCCTCCTATGAGAATCTAATGCCACCACTGATCTAACAGGAGGCAGAGCTCAGGCAGTATTGGGAGTGATGGGGAGAGGCTGTAAATACAGATAAAGTTTCACTACCTCACCTATGGCTCACCTCCTGCTGTGCAACCAAGCACCTGTCCAGGGGTTGGGGAACCATATGCTAAAGTATAATTAAAGTATAGTTGTTCGATAGCTTACTTAATGAAGCCTTAATTTCCTTATAATTAAACTTTAGTTATAAATATAAATTTCTGATCTATTTATTTTAATTTTGGTGAAGTTGAAGAAAATAATGTGTATAAGCACTTAGTAATAGATGTAGTACAAAGTACATTTTCAGCACATTTAAAAAATATTATTAGAACAAGTTCATCTGTACTGTGTATTTTTATCTATACTGTATATTTTAAAATATTTATCTATTACAAATAAAATTAATATCAATAATTTATATTTCTTAAGTGTATTTAGCATACAATTTAAAACAGTGGCCCATAGATGAGTGTTAAGATTTATTCTATTCATCGTTCAAGGAATAAGAAAGATGAACCTTGATTGTTAAGGTTTGAATGTTAAAGAATCAAATAGATTTATTAATGAATTTTTTAATTGGAAGGTTTTGATTGTTTAACAGAATTATAGAAATTGATGTAAGGAAGAAAACCCAAAATAGATTATTTGCAATGTAACAGGATAAGAAATATTTTCAAATACTATTACCATATAAAGTGTACAATCACAGGCACATGAAAGCTGGGGCTAAAAATTATTTATATAGTACTATTACACATATATTACATATACACAAAATTATATATATATATATATATATATATTCAATTAAACCATTTGGAGCTAAATCCAGGTGATGTTCAACCAATTTATTTTAAATCTATGGAAATAAAATTAAAAATGAGGTAGTATGATGGAAAATTGAGGTTAAAAAAAGACAGATGAATTTAGCAACAAAAACAAATATAATAATCAAGACATGAAATTAAATATGTAAATCAAATTTGTAAAAAGAAAAATCAATTATGCATTAAATTTACTCAGTAGTGGTACTTTTCCAGGAAATCTATCCCAGAATTAATTAGAAATGAATAAAATAAGGAAAGATGAATGGAAATGCAGTGAATGGAAATGCAACATATGTCAAATTGTCATTCATAAAAAATGTCTAGAACAAATAAAAAATAAGCAATAAAGAAACATTTAATTTAGTTGTATCTTCAAATTGAGTGGTCTATACATATATCAGAAACATACAGGTACCCGTCACAATTTAACTCTTGCTATTCGATGAAGTTCCTTTCAAAATACCTAAAATTTAATTTTTGATTTATAAACCTACATGTTAATATACTTGTAGATGTCAGTATAATGTTAATTTGCCTCCTAGCTGAGAGGGAAGAATGTAGATTGCATTGCAGTCGTGTTTTACTGGGAATGGGCCTCATGTTTGTTTTTTAAGTGGGTTGTGCACTCTTGTTATAATCCTCAACTTATTGAGCTAAAATACATTCTGAGAAATTAGAAAAGGATGGGAAGATAGGAGGTGTATCTTTAAGTATAAAGCTCATACTTAACAGGAAAAGCTGGAAGTAATAAATATATCTAGAGACCCAAGCTCATAACAACCATAAGGTCGGCCATTTGTATCTGCACAGTTTTGCACAAACTGTTCTTTTGGAGGAAAAATAAAAGGGAACTATACAAGTCTTTTTAGCTCTGGCATGCCTTATTGACTGGTTGTTTTAAGCATAACTTGTAAGGGAGACTAAGAGAGAGAGAGAGACATTTGCTATAGTTTGATGACCACAATTACTATAAGATGCCATGATCACAGTGCTACTGCTGCGAAAGGATTGCATATCTTCAATGTTCTGAAGGCAAAGGTAATGAAGGAGAGATATAATATATTTTTAAGAAATTTTGTTTCAAAGCAAGTGTGGAAATGTTCAGCAAATTTAAGAATCATGAATATTTTAAAGATTGAAAATGAATTAATTTCTGATGACTGTCCAGCTATAGGTATTTATTATCGAGTTATAAAATAATAACAAATAAATGTATAAATAAAAATAAGAAACTAAATAGCTCTCCTAAAATGATAAAGTCAATTTATGCATTATTAGAAAACATTAGAAAAAATAAATGCCAGGTCAAAAGGGCACCAAAGATATGCTAACATCTGGAAAGGTGAAGGTTTTGTTAAGCCAAAATTGTTGTAGATGTGTTTCTTTTATTATGCCCAACAAGGAAATATAGAAGAGTTCATTCTCCATCAAATGACATTGGAACCCAAAGCCTAGATAATGACGAAGTATTTGTATGATTAGGATGTTAGTATTTTCAGTGGGTTATCTGATGCAGAACTACTGAATAGAACATTACGTCAATAGGGTTTCAGACTATTTTAGAAATATATATTTCTATATATACTATGTATATATATATAGTGTTTTTCAGGGTAAAAAGGTTGTTTGTTTTTTAATGTTCTGTGATTAAATAATAGACCGTGATTTTAAACTAAGTGTACACAGGCTTGTATTTTTCCAAAAAATTCTCAACTACACATTTTAGGTAATATATTAGATTAAGATAATGATGTGTGGTTTTGATGTGGCTTTGATTTACTTCAGGTGGCTGTTTTTGTATTTGGAAATAATTTTTTTATATTATTTCCTGACATGTTCCTGACATGAAATTACTTTGATAATAAAACACCAGATTTCCAAATTCTGACCGACACTTAAATCAAGAAGAGGTTCAGAGGTTGGAAATCAAAGTTCGGCTTCAGGATTTTTAATATTAGTTAAAGACCTAAGTTTATGGACTCAAATATTGAATATTAATGGATGGCAAATGTTAATAAAGGGATTTATTGATGCTTTTCAATCTATGCAACAAGAACAACTTGTACCATCACTGTTTCCCTTTCATGTCTATTTGTAACGATATTGCCTGAATCTGATGAATTTGGTTTGGACCATCTGGACCTGCTTAAAATGTTTATGGAGTTTCTGCCTCCCTGTAATACCAATATTTGTAACTTGGAAAGAAATTATATTAAAGTAAGAGTCAGAGGATTTATGCATAATAATAATTTTGGGGATATTTGCTAAGGATGACGCTAACAAAAGAAGTCATAAAGACTTTATTGATTTTTTTACATAAAATCAAAAACTTTTATATGAAAAATACAGTAAGTGTAGTTGAAAAAATGGCATTGTAAGAATAGATATTTTAACATAATGAATGGACAATAGCTAATTTTCTTAATTTATAAAGATAATACAAATCAGTAATAAGTTCAATATAAAAGAACATTACTACAACACAAAATATAATTGGCTTATCTAATTAACTAAATGCTAATCAAAAATTAAGATTCACTATTATGGCAGGGTTGTGTGTAAAATTATCTTATTAAAGAGTGTATACTATTTCAAAACTCTGGCAATAAAAATAAAAAATTTAAAGTGACCTTATAATATACATCTTATCAATTTCACTGTTAGCAATTTACCCTATTTTATTTTCAAAAAAAGCATCCAATAAATCATTTTATAAATGATCTAAGTGATTAATTACTAATAAATCCAATATAAACTGTCAGTAGATGAATAACTAAGCAAATTGTAATTATAATAAAATAAAAATGTGGTACATATACACCATGGAATACTATACAACCCTCAAAAAATGGGATTGTGGCCTTTGCAGGAACATGGATAGAGCTGGACGTCATTATCCTCAGCAAACTAACACAGGAACAGAACACCAAATACCTCATGTTCTTACTTATAAGTGGGAGCTGAATGATGAGAACACATGGACACATAGAGGGGAACAACACAAACTGGGGCCTTTCATGGGGTAGAGAGTGGGAGGAGGGAGAGGATGAGGAGAAATAACTAATGGGTACTAGGCTTAAGACCTGGATAATGAAACAAATTGTACAAACCCCCATGGCACAAGTATACCTATGTAACAAAACTGTGCTTGTGCCCCTGAACTTAAGATAAAAGTTAAACAAATAATAAAATGACTAAAGTAAAAGATGAGGAACATAATTTTCTAATAATATATGACAACAAATGTGTAAAAGCTAGGAGGCAAAGAGTAAGAAGATGAAATATATGTTATTAACTTTCTGTCTATGAATAAAATGATGTATATATATATATATATATATATATATGATCTTGCACAACCTGCAGAAGAAACACAGGTGATTAATTTTGAGGAAGATGCCTCTTACTATAATCTTGTACTTGTAAAATATGGTGTCATCACATTTTAATTACTGAAATGTAAAATTCCTATAGCGTTGTCGTATCTCAACGAAAAACTAAACTTTAACTAGATATTAATTATTTTTATTCTATTTATTATTTTGTTCATTTTCTTTCTCATTGGTTTAGGTTGGGTGGTTTGGGAAAATTTCTTAAGTAAAATTGCTAATAAGCCAAAATTACTAAGGAGATATTGATTACTATATTCAGCATTTTCTGAATTTATATCTTTCAAATTTATTGGGAATATGAAAATTTTAAAATGGTAGTAAATAAGCCTAAAAATACCAGAAATTATTATGTAACTTAAAACTATATAGTAATCACTATAATCGATCTGTACTGACTTCCGTAAAATGTCATTCAAAATGGCAACAATGTCACAATTTCACTATTTTTTATCTGCTTTTTATTTCCAGTCAAGATGTAACTATGAAATTTAAATATTCTACATATTTATTAATTAAATTAGTCTATTCTACCAGATCATTGCAAGGTAAGTGGTTGTTATAAGCATTTTACCCATTTAATATAATTTAATTACACTAAGATTATGAAAACTAACTCCAACAATCATCCTTTTTATATAATGTATCTCAATAATCTTTCCACACACATTATAAATGAAAGACTGCTTACTGATTTGGTATTCATTATATATAAAATATAGGCAATATAAACATACTAGAACATTCTCTAAAGGAAATGACATAATTAATTCATAATTATGACACCAATAGAAATATACAGGATCTAGAGGAATATTTAATACCAAACTAGTGTAGTACATGGTTACAATAAAGAATTAATTCTATAATGTTGATAATGTTTAAAATTTCTGTAGTCCCTTTAATTAATTAATTGATTTTTCATTATTGTTATTATTTTTTTTTGAGACAGAGTCTCGCTCTGTCGCCCAGGCTGGAGTGCAGTGGCGCAATCTCGGCTCACTGCAAGCTCCACCTCCCGGGTTCACGCCATTCTCCTGCCTCAGCCTCCCAAGTATCTGGGACTTCAGGCGCCCGCCACCATGCATGGCTAATTTTTTGTATTTTTTAGTACAGATGGGGTTTCACCGTGTTAGCCAGGATGGTCTCCATCTCCTGACCTCGTGATCCGCCCGCCTCGGCCTCCCAAAGTGCTGGGATTACAGGCGTGAGCCACCGCGCATGGCCGGTCCCTTTTATTTTAAAGAGGGCTTGGGTAGGCACTGTTGAGAAATAGAAATAATTAAAAAACAATTATTACGCCTGAGGAATTTCTGAGGCACGCCAAAATACACATAAAAAATTATTTACAAAAATAGTTTCTAGCTAGCAACCCATAATCTGTTCTTTCAAATTTAATACTAAACCATTAATTAATAGATAATAATCATAATTTCAAAACCTTAAAGAATAGTCAATGATTCGAACAATAAAAAAGATACAGTAAACTAGGTAATATAGGAAGGCAGCTAGTATGTTTTTTGTCATAAAGCAGGTAATATTAGTTGGGTGCAAAAGCAATTGAGGTTTTGGCCATTATTTTTAATTACTTTGGCCATTATTTTAATTGCAATTATTTTGGCCATTACTTTCAATGGCCAAAACTACAATTACTTTTGCACCCACCTAATACCTGTTTGAGACTACCTAGTGTTTAAGTCATACCAGTCTTTAAGGTCAATTCAGAAAATGTAGAATAATTTGAGAAAAAAAATAATGAAGAAGTTGACCCACTCTTTTCTAATTACTGCATAGAGAAAATTGAAAAACCATTTTTGTTCAGGGTTGAATTATGAGGTGGGAGAAAGGGAGAGAAGAGGGAGAAAAGGCAGGGAAAGCAAGGGTGACATTGACAACTAGAAAAGTGTATGGGGTGGGGAGTGGGAAAGTAGGAGTAAACAAAACCAAAAAAAGTGTGAGAACCATTTTTTTTTCATTGTCTAAGAGAATCTAGTTATAATTGGTTTTCTGTGTGTGTTGTCACTTACTGGAAAAGCACATGGTATAAACAAATCGCTCACTACTGTAGGAGGGCATTAGAGAAAATGAGGACATTGATGAATACAGTAATTGAAATAAGTGAGACCTGGGTTTAAATCCTGCCTTTCTAGAAAAAAATATTAAAAGGATATTACTAAACCTTTGGAGCATATCTTTTTAAAATTTATACAATGCTTATCATTAATTCCGCCAGTGTAACTAATCAAGGTGTTACTGTTGCCAATTATATCAAGCAAAAGCCAGGAAAACTGTCAGAGTTTCTGTGATTTTTAAGTAGGCTGTGTTCTATTACAGAAGAGGAGGAATGGGTAAAAACTTACGGTTCCAAGGATTTCACCAGTATTAAAGATACTGGTAAGAGTTAAGATGTATAGAATTTTAAAAATAGGGTGTTCAAATAGGAAGAGAGGAAGTCAAATTGTCTTTGTTTTCAGATGACAGGATTGTATATTTAGAAAACCCCATCGTCTCAGCCCCAAAACACCATAAGCTGATAAGCAAATTCAGCAAACTCTCAAGATACAAAATCAATGTGCAAAAATCACAAGCATTTCTGTAAACCAATAATAGACAAGCAGAGAGCCAAATCATGAGTGAACTCTCATTCACAATTGCTACAAAGAGCATAAAATACCTAGGGAATACAAATTACAAGGGACGTGAAGGACCTTTTCAAGGAGAACTACACACCACTGCTCAAGAAAATAAGAGAGGGCACAAAAAAATGGAAAAAAATTTCATGCTCACCAATAGGAAGAACTAATATTGTGAGAATGGTTATAATACAAAAGTAATTTCTAGATTCAATGCTATTCCCATCAAACATTGACTTTCTTCACAGAATTAGAAAAAAAACTACTTTAAATTTCATATGAAACCAAAAAAGAGCCCGTATAGCCAAGA